>NC_000004.12:109224411-109375926 GCF_000001405.40 Homo sapiens | reverse complement strand
TTCCACTTACTAGCTGTGAGACTGTGAAATAGACGGTTCACCACATTGATTAACACCTACCTTAAAGGGCTGTTTGCAGGATGACATGGACAAAGCCAAGGTGATTTTGTTGCTCAAAAGTGTTAGCTCCCTTCCTTCTTTCAATCCAGGGAAGATAATCTTCTAAGGTCACACCACTTAAAAGGCGATTTACCCACCAGGCATGGTGGCTCACACCTGTAATCCCAGCACTTTGGGAAGCCAAGGTGGGCAGATCACTTGAGGTCAGGAGTTTGTGACCAGCCTGGCTAACGTGGTGAAACCCCTTCTCTACTGAAAATACAAAAATACAAAAATTAGCTGGGTGTGGTGGCAGTTGCCTGTAATCCCAGCTACTCGGGAGGCTGAGGCAGGAGAATCTCTTGAACCCAGGAGGGAGAGGTTGCAGTGAGCTAAGATCGCACCACTGCACTCCAGCCTGGGCAACAGAGTGAGACTCTGTCTCAAAAAAATAAAAAAGGCAATTTGCAGACTGTTGCTAGTCCAGGAACTGTTACTGGTTGAAGATGAGATAAGCAACTTGAGCCAAGCTGTAAACAGGCACACTACTTCTTTCATGTATAAAGTACACCAAAATGATAATAATAATAATAATAATAATAATAATAATAATAATAATGTCAGCTAATCTGGACGGTGTGTTTAGTGACCTAGTTGTTATATTCTGGTTGCAAGCACCTTATCTCATTGCAGACCAGTAATGAACATTTCATGAACAAGCACTTTGAGTAGCACTGTATCTAGAGATTCTGTAATAAAGACTAAGGACACAGCAACTAGCTCTTGAAGACAGAACTGTCTAGGTTCAAATGCTGATTCCACTGGTTAGTAATTCTGGGCAAGTTATTTACCTCCCTGTGCCTCAGTAACCTCATCTGCAGTGTAAGCATATTAATAGTACCTCTAAGTTAATATATATGACACCTTTAGAACAGAGCCTGGAATAAAGTAAGTACCATTAAAATGATGCTATTACTATTATTATTATTATGGAAACTTTAAAGGGTTGGGCTTATAGGGACTGAGGCAGTTTGCTTTCACTCTATTATAGATTATAAACCCTCTTGTGGATCTTTATTTTTTTGTGCCCTTCCTTTCCCTTCCCTTCCCTTCCCTTCCCTTCCTTCCTTCCTCTTCTTCCTCCTCTTCCTCCTCCTCTCCTACCCCTCTCTTTCTCCTCTTGAAATAAATGAGATCATGACTTTTCTGGTATTTTACTACCACTAAAGTTATAGTGAGCCCTTGGTGAATTCACTCATCAATGTTAACATTTTGGAAACTTGGCTTGTAGTGGATTGTGACTTAAAGTACAAGTCCTAGGTTTGAAGATCTCTACGTCAATTTTTCAGAGGAGGGTTGGGCAAGGTGGCTCATACCTGTAATCCCAGCAATTTGAGAGGTGGAAGGATAGTTTGAGGCCATGAGTTCAACACCAGCCTTGGCAACAAAGTGAGCCTGTCTCATAAAAAAATAAAAATAGAAAATCCAAAACACAAACTTAGCTGCTCATGGTGGTGTGCACCTGTAGTCCCAGCTACCTGGGAGGCTGAGGCAGAAGGATCACTTGAGCTTGAGGAGGTCGAGGCTGAGGTGAGCCAAGATTGTGCCACCACACTCCAGCATGGGTGACAGAGTGAGACCTTGTCTCAAAAAATGTATATTTTCTGAACTGTAGTGTGTGAAGTACACAATAGCACCCTGTTGATTAGAGTGGTGATCTCTGTTCCGTTGATGCAGCTCATCTTGACACTTGCTCTTTCTACCCACATAAAAACCACTAATCTTTTGTGAGTTGGTTCTAAGAATAATTGATGCATTGTCACATTTGTGAAATGGTAACATAGGAATAAAAGGTTAAGCACTTCTGTTAAAAAGTAGATAATAGGAGGATAAGTTTAATCCTGTAGTGTTTCAGGTCAGTGAGAACACATAGCCATTTGTGTCTGTGTACATTTCTGCTAGATATTTCAACTTGCTAATTCCATACTCTATTATATTCAAGGTCAGCTTTGAATAATATCCATTTTTTCCCAGATAGTCAGTTTCTTAGACAATCTGTTTTTATATAATGTCCTTTCAAAACAGTACTTCAACTACTTACTTGGTTTGGTTTGTTTTTTCTGTGTGTGTGCCACTTGGATGACAATGTTCTAAATTTTAATTCTTTCTTGTTTGCACCGAGTAAATACATGAAGAATCAGCATTGCACTATTGGTGGAATTATTTGTAAAATAAGAGAGAGCATTAACCATCTTGATGTCTTCTCTCCACATACATCTTTTTTATCTCACATAAGACAGAGACTTAATTTTGGGGAGTTTCCAAAGTATGTAGACTCTTATAATGATATCACTAGCAGTCATAATAGACATCATCAAGCCATCTTCATGGTGGCTTTTTATATATTTGTAGAAAAGATAGAATAATCACTTCATAAAATAGGTACCTTATGCTATTGATGAGTGTGCATTGTAGGGTTGTGTCCAATCTTGCCCTTCACACTGATCCTTTACTGGTCTTATAGATCTGACTTTCAAGTTTTAGAAGTTGACAGAAAGTTATTGGAATAGAGCTTACTGGTTTTTGAAATAGGCTCTGCTGGCTTCTCATCAATTTTAGCTTTTATGATGCTATGAGCATAATCACTAAGCAACTAAGTAAATTTTGAAAGTCTGCTTATTGGACTCTAAAATCATATATTTTTAGGATTTCTGCTAATATTCCTGAATTAACAGAACCTAGAGTGCTTGAGAAGCAAAACAAAACAATTTGAATGATAAAGTAGTAGAGTGTTAGGAAAACATACTCATTTGGAAACTGGGTCTCAATTTCTATTCATGGTCTTCAAAAAAGATTCAGATGAAGCCAAGGAACGAAGTACGAATAGTCCTTTTGTGTAAACTATGTTTTTTTCTATGTGTGAAATGAAGATAGTGCTTGCCTACTAATTAAAAAGTGCTTTGAGTCTTTCTTGTTGTAGGTATCGTAGGTGTATATATCATCCAATGGAGAACTAAGATAATTGAGGCACGACAGTAAAGAAACAGTAAACAATAAAGAAAATGTTGGCTGTGTTCCCAGGGGAATAATCTTGCTTGGCTTTCTACCACAATTACACCTACAGGGCAATTTGTTGATTCCTTTCTCTCCTACATGTCTCCCTGCAAGTTCAATCTGTCTTCCAGTCCTAAGGCATCACCACATCCATTCTCTTGAATCCGTTCTCTTTGTGCCTCCTCGTGTTTGCACCTTAGTCTAGGTCATCATTATCTCCAGCCTGGATTCATGGGCAATGGCTTCGAACTGGTCTCTGTGACTACTCCTTGCTCCATACTGAGGAAAGAGGAATCTTATAAAATGCACATCTGATGGTGATACTGCCTTGCTTACATCCCCACAGCACCTTCTCATTGTCTTCAGGGTAAAGCCCAAATTCCTCAATATGCTTAAAGTGCCCTCCCTGACCTTGCCACTGCCCATTCCTCCAGCATCACCATTAACCACTTTTCCCCTTCCCCTCGAGTTCTTTTTACCTTTTCAAAGCAACTGCACATTTTAATGTTTCGTTTCCTCTAACAGGAACATTCTGCTCCCACTTTTCACCTGTTATACTATCTCTCAGTTCGCAAAGATGCTGCTTTATCAGTGTCAAAACCTTGGATTGGTTAGATTCCTTGTTATAATGTTTTTTAAAACTTTGTTTTCTTTACTAGACTATAAGCTTCATGAGGACCAGGCTATGTTTGTCTTTTTAGCTCCTATGTTCTTAGTATCTAATCCAGTGTCTGACACATCAGAGGTGTTCAATAAATATTTGTTAAACAAATGAGTGAAGTGATTAGCATGTTGCCTGGCATAGAGTAAGCATTTAATGGATGGCAGCTATCTGCCTCTATATCTATTGATTCACACACACACACACACACACACACACACACACACACAGGTGGCACAGTCAACATTAAGAAAATAATATTGCTGTATATGATAACAGACGTACAATGAAGACTGTGATAGGAAGGATATAGCCTACTTGTTTATTGAAATTATTGAAAGTGTATAAATTGGCTCTCCACCCAAACTGGAAAATAATATTATAAATAAACATATTTCAGTGCTGCTGAGACTTAAATTTGAATGAGCTTTCTGTGCAGTAGAGGTGGTAGAAAAGTACATGTGTAGTGAAATTTTAGTAGCCCATATTATTTGAACATATGCTGAGGTTATGGTGAGCAAATGTTGAAGTTATTACTGTTTGACACGTATGTTTGGTGCTGAGTGCTCACATTGTGGCTGGGTACGGTGTATATTTTAAAAGTAGATGTGGTGCCTTGCCAAGTGGAGCTGCACATTCTGATTTAGAAAGGGCTACCACAGGTTTAGGTTTTATGTTGGAACTTCATGACATTAAAGGTAAAGGAGACGGTGAAGTGAGAGGCATGAGGAGTGTGAAGTGAGGGGAGTAACTGAAGGGAAGGAACCTTCAGCTGCTGGCTTCCAGTTGCTCCTTCCTCTCCAAAGGAAACAGTAGTATGCCTGAGGGAAAGCAAATTAGGGAGTTAGGAAATCGCAGCCTGTGACATTTGTGTCACCTTCCACGATTGAAATGTTGAGAACTGGAAAGTGACTTTCCTAGCTGATTTCTCATTGATAAGCTCTGTTTCAAGAATAGCTAAGCTATGTTGAGTCAATGAAGGTAATTGCTTTCACTTACTATTTTCTGATTTCAGTGTTGGCAGGACAAGATGTATGCCCAGGAGGCTCTATAAGTCTGCAATGTTTTCCTTAAGGCATATCCACTTTTAAGCTCTCAAATATAGAAATATATGTTTCATTTCTTAAAAGTTAATATTAGAAATAGCTTGAAAGATCAGCATATATACAGACTGGATAAATATCATTATTTAGCCATTCTGTCTAGCTCAATCAGAATCTGTTAATTGGATGCCATCTTTAACGATTTCACTCTACACAGGGGAGCATGGTTGACTGGGCTCTGTTAAATATCTGTTTCCCATAACTCTGTGTAATATTAATTCTGTGTTAATGTGTGTGATATATATTTCTGTAGTCTCTCTTTTGACTATTTTTTTTTTTTGAGACAGAGTCTCACTCTGTCTCCCAGGCTGGAGAGCAGAGGCATGAAATGGCTCACTGTAGCCTCAACTTCCTGGGCTCAAGTGATCCTCCCGCTTAGCCTTCCAGGTAGCTGGGACTATAGGTGCACGCCACCACGTCCAGCTAATTTTTTAATTTTTTTTTTTTTTTTTTTGGAGAGACAAGGTCTTGGATCTTGCTATGTTGCCCAGGCTGGTCTCAAAATCCTGAGCTCAAGTGATCTGCCCGCCTTGGCCTCTCAAAGTGCTAGAATTACAGGCATGAGCCACCGTGCCTGGCTTTTGGCTCTAACTGTTCTCTTTCACTTTATTCATTCCAGTGGCATGGTACACTATCTTTTTTACATCTGGATTGAGCATTTTCAGTCTGTATGAAAAAGATGTCCATGAGGAAATCCATTTATGACTGGGTACGGTGGCTCATGCCAGTAATCCCAGCACTTTGAGAGGCTGAGGCGAGTGGATTACCTGAGGTCAGGAGTTCGAGACCAGCCTGGACAACATAGCAAAACGTCCTCTCGACTAAAAATAGGAAAATTAGCTGGGCGTGGTGGCAGGCACCTGTAATCCCAGCTACTCTGGAGGCTGAGACAGGATAATTGCTTGAACTAGGGAGGTAGAGGTTGTAGTGAGCCGAGATCACGTCACTGAACTCCAGCCTGGGTGACAGAGTGAGACTCCACCTCAAAAAAAGCAAACAAACAAAAATAAAAAATAAAAAAAGAAATCCATTTATGTATGAACATAATTAATAAAGTTAATATACAAAATACCTCACTTGATGTCCCCCTTCTGATTCTCAAATAAGAGCCATGTGGCCCTAGGAAGTACAGAAGTCAATTTTCTTTCTCTTTTTCTTTTGAATTCTTCACTGAAAGGGTTTGAACAGGTAACTATTTTTGTAAAGCTGTTAAAAAACCCATAGAAACAATATTTGCTTGCAACAAAGGCAGCCATGGAACAAGAAAAGTACTCCAAAATATGTAAAAGACTATTGCTCACCATACCCCAATCTTGGCCCGGTTGCAAACTCATATTGCCGCATCCCGTTTGCTGCAAAGTGGCAATGCATATTTATCCAGAGCTGGAGCCAGACTACCTCTCTTCCCCCCAGTGATACTTTTCAGATCCCAAAAGAAGTTTGCTTTATGTGTTTAGTTACACTCCTTTCTGATTTTAGACACACAATTTGAGATTACATAAGATATCTTTACAATACTTTTCTTCCAAATAAAGTTTTTAAAATATATGTCATAATCATGTCTTCCTATTAATGATCTGATGAACAGATAGACATTCTCTTATATATAATTTCCAAACTGAAGCAAAATCCATTAAGGATTTATATATTTTCAAAATGTATTAGGTATTAATGACATATTGACATGCATATTATATAGCAGCATTGTCTTTCCTACTATAGAAAAAAGTCTATACTTATGATATATAATTATATATTAGCTTTTTATTTATGAGAAATAGAAAATTTTTTGACATGATTTTGTATAAATTATAACTGTGAACATCCCTCTTTTATTATTCTTTCTCTCTTTTTTGGTTTACTGGAAAAATAAAATCCACATTCAGTGATTTGAATAAGCAAACAATTTCTAAGAATATCTGTCATGGCTGTTCATAGTACTGCACAGCTGTTATTTTATTTAAATACCACAATTTTTAAGAGACACCGTCATTGTGGGACATATGATGCATGCATGGTATATAGCTGTTCTAGAAAGAGTCAAGGCAAATCCCATTTTTATGGCTTTAGTTTTTAAATCCCAGGAAGACTTTATAGAAAGAGACTGACAAGAGGGACAGGTGGATATTGGCTCCAACTTGGTGACAAGTTTTCAACCTCAGCTGCATTCTTACGACAGGGGAGTGAAGAGCAGCTGGCAGCCTGGGAGCCTCTGTTCTACAGATGGAATTCTTGTGGCAGAGAGAAGAATGTTCTAGCTGGCTCCTCATGCTTAATGAACAAAGAGCACAACTTAAGAGATTGAAGCTACTGTTTGATCTAAACAGTGGAGTCCCACTCCCTCTTTCTTCCTCGTCACATCTTTCGTATTACAGTTCTAGTGATTTATGTTTAGAAAAGAATATAAAGTTTCCCAGATTACTATTAGTCACTGATGTCTCGAATTCAATATATTCTTTTAAAGCCCATTTTTTACAATTGTGAGATTTGGGGCAAGAATATAAATAGAGGCCCGCAGATCATATATCTAAATATTTCCAAGTTATAAATCAAGTGATCAAATTGTTCAGTAAGAGATGTTCTTTCTCTTAACCTGGTGTTTCCTACCAGAGCATGGAGGCATGGGGAGAGCCAGGCCCTGTCTCCTCCATGGCTGGCTGCATCTTACATGGCGAGGGGCTTCCTGTGTATGTGTGGACACCCCAATTCACATACCCAGGCACCAACCACACTTCCTCGCTGACAGCTGCCACTTGATCACCTTTAGGTCTAGAAACTCTGGAAGCAGGTTGAGGACTATTTGGGCAAGGAATTCTGGGGTCCTAGAATTCAGAAATGGTCCCGAAGGGTGGGGGGTGTAGCCTCTGAGTGGGCACAGGAGACTGCAACATGGGGAAGAGTGGGGCCCTCTACAGCATGGGGCTTAGGACAAGGGTCGGTTCACCTGGGTCTAAGAGTGATACTTTTCTTTTTAAACCTCAATGTATACAATATTGTTCCCTCCATAGCCAGGTAGGAAGGAGAACTTTGTGGTCAACTTCTAAGTTCTCCATTTAATTAAAAATTATTAAAGCCAGTATTATTTACCTGGTGTTTATGGTCCATCTGCTCTCAAACTAGAATGGTTTCAGTAAGCACCAGGTACACCCTTACGGCATACTTTACCATATAAAGTATGCAACCTGGGGGTTTGACATGACCACTCTTCCCCTGAATTTCTATAGCATTTGGAAGGGTAACTGCAACTGTGGAATGACCTCCTTCTAGTTATATTTGAAAGAACTTTGGTCTGAAAGGTAAATGGCAACCATTATTCTAATCCTATAAATAAGGTAACTTGGCAAATCTTTTCGCTTTATGGTTATTTCAAATACACAATAAACTAGGAAAGGAGCCAGCAGCAGATGAAAGAGTTCTACCTGTGCTTATAAATCAGTGAAATATGAATTGAGGTAGAAAATGAAAGATCTGAATAATATTGCCTTTTGGTCCATCTCAGAGAGATTCAAATGAAAGTGCACAGGAAGGAATACCTATTTGCATTATTCACAGTATCCCCTGTAAATTAGTGGCATGATGTAGGTGGAACCCGTATAGTATAAGTAGGAACGCTAATGTTACATAGGTTTTTACTTTAAGGTCCAGGGGGACTCAGCCAAGTGGAAAAATAGCAGAGTTATGGTGGAAACCAGTCACCTTGTTAAAACTGAATAACCAGGTGTTTGGGAAAAGAATGGTATGAGAGACTGGTTTCTTCCCTGCTGAACACAGTCATTCAGTGTGAACACAGAGAGAAGGAATCTTTGTTACAAGCATAGAGGAAGATAAAAATGTGTGTATTTCAATGTTTGAAAACTAACCTGTGTCACAAGTCCATTTTGGGTTTCATAATATAATCAAGGAGAGCTACGTTTTGAGCTATAATTATGCTATATTTCCTGGAATAACCTTATTTGGGGTGTTTCAACACATGGTCTATAGCAATTCAAACTGGAATGCATTTGTGCATAGGTGCAGGATATATTCATTTTTTCTATGTGATTTTCATTTTAAAGAAAAGTGAATTTTAGAAACTAAGGTACATGGATCACTCTCATTTCAAAATAAAAAGCCTTGGTGAGTATGTTATGATAGTGGATGAGAAAAGTTCGGAGTAATATTCTTGGCTTTAAAAAACCAGTGTTACCAAAAACATTCACAAAATTTGACCTGAAAATATAAAGAATTATATTCATAATGAATTATATTCATAAATACAAAATAAATACTCTTCAGTGGTTTCCTATTGCTTTTAAGATAAAACCCTGCATGATCTGGCCCCTCTCTGCCTATCCAGCCTCATTCACCAAATGAGGGAAACTTCTCTCTCCCTGCTCTGCCCTGACAACATTGACCTTTTCTTTGTTCCGCCAATGCCGTGCTGTTTTCTATCTCATTCATGTCCTCTTCTTCCCTCTCTCCACTAACTGCTTCTTCTTCCAGTCTCAACTTAAATGTTATTTTCCCAGGGATTTTTCTCTATTTTTACCAGACTGGTTGGGCTTTCCTATTGAATGCTTCTATTAAACCCTGTAGTTTTCCTTCTGCACAGTAATAAAAATTAATATCAGAGGATATCCCTGGCCTTTTTCTCGCAACTTGTAAAAAGTGTGCTGCTTTGTTTATTCCACTCTTACACGTCCAAGGAGGATTTGGGGATATTGTTGGGGAACGGAGTGGAATGGGAATGGGGAAGAAACCAGGGAGGTGGAAAATGGGAAACAAATAGAAATTAAGAGACCATTGTGGCCTCAGGATAGGGGATGAGATGTTTTGTGGCTCTGAGGAGTCAGGCAAGTACAAGAGGAGAGGGAATTTTTGGAAGTGTCACTGAAGGAGAAATATTTTCTTCCCATTGTTATACTGGAATTACTCATTAGTTCTAGACTTACTTATTAGTTCCTGGAGTTACTCATTAGTTCCTGGAATTACTCATTAGTTCCTGAAATAATTACTCATTATTTCTTTGAAAGAATGCTGAGGCTGGATCACGTGTGTCCTGATGTAACACTTCTTGAGGTGTATCATTTTTTATAATTATACAGTTGTTTGTGTAATTGTTTTATGCTTTCATTTTCCTCCTCTCCTCCCAAGACCACAGGGCAGGGACCATGCGTATGTTGCTCACAGCTAAATTCCCAGGGCATTGGACAGAATCTGGCCTTTAGTGTATTCTCAACAAGTGATGAATGAATGAATGAATGTGTCAATCCATTGTGATTAGATGTCTAATCTCTAAATATCAACCTGGGGCTCAGTGACAAAATTATGCTTTCCTTAATGAAAGGTCTCTAGAAGAAGAAGTTTTGAGCTAATTTCCAAATTCCTATAATTAAAAACCTTTAAAATAAGTTTTCTTTTCCCTGACACATTTCTCTGATGTTAAGAAGTGTAGAGATTGACAAGTATGTGTATTGCAGTACTATTTACAATAGCAAAGACTTGGAACCAACCCAAATGTCCATCAGTGATAGACTGAATAAAGAAAATGTGGCACATATACACCATGGAATACTATGCAGCCATAAAAAAGAATGAGTTCATGTCCAGTGCAGGGACATGGACGAAGCTGGAATACATCATTCTCAGCAAACTAACACAGGAACAGAAAACCAAACACCACATATTCTCACTCATAATTGGGAGCTGAACAATGAGAACACATGGACACAGGGAAGGGAACATCACACACCAGGGTCTGTCAGGAGGAGGGGGGTAAGGGGAGGGAGAGCATTAGGACAAATATGCGGGGCTTAAAACCTAGGTGACAGGTTGATGGGTGCAGCAAACCACCATGGTACATGTATATCCATGTAACAAACCTGCACGTTCTGCACATGTACCCCAGAACTTAAAGTAAAAAAAAAGAAGTGCAGAGATTGAGTATTAATATGATTATTGTAATTGAGATGAAACACACCAAATACTTATGTTCTTTTCAAAGTATATTAAAATATTTGCTAAAATAATCACATCTTGGTATACATATAAGCTAAGGATTTCTTTTCTACTGAAGAGAAAGACAAAACCTGGGATTATATATTTATTGCTGCTTACTGAAAACTGACTATATGCCTAGCAGTATGGTATTTGTCATACACATGCAACATTTAAACATATAAACAATATTTTGAGGTAGGTATTAGTTCCTGACTTTATCAATAAAACAACCAATCAATAAAAAAACAACTGATGCCTATAATCCCAGCACTTTGGGAGGCTGAGGTGGATGGATCACTTGAGGTCACGAGTTCAAGACCAGCATGGCTGACATGGTGAAACCCTGTCTCTACTAAAAATACCAAAATTAGCTGGGCGTGGTAGTGCGTGCCTGTAGTCCCTGCTACTTGGGAGGCTGAGGCAGGAGAATCGCTTGAACCCAGGAGGTGGAGGTTGCAGTGAGCCGAGATTACACCACTGCATTCCAGCCTGGGTGACACAGCCAGACTCTGCCTCAAACAAACAAACAACAAAAAAGAAAACCAAGGTTGACTGACTTGCCCAGGACCTCTAAATTAGGAAATAGTAGAGTTGATATTCACACCCAGGTCTGCTGATTCCAAAGCCAATGCTGGTGAACAACAAAATTCTCTTTTTAATTTTGAGGAATACATCATCTACTTTATTAAGAATTTTATTTAATATATAACTATAACAGGAAATATGAGTTCACAGTTCTGGTCTGCCTTCTCTTTTCCAGGGATCACCCCAACTCACACTGCCTCTAGTCTACACTGTCAAGTCTAGAACCTGACTCCTATCCACTACAGGACTAGACATAGACAACTTGCATTGTTAACGTACTTCCCGTGTAGTCTTATGTTAGTTGAGTAACTTGTCAGAAGTTTAAAATAAGACAAACACTTACATTCAGGAACTCCTGGTTGTCACTTCAGCCCACCAGCTAATCCTCTGGATCAACTACCTGTTGATTTTTTTTGTTGTTGTTAACTAAAAATTCACTTTGGCTTTTGCAATTTCAAGCTTTGTGTTATTAGCCCTCCAAGTCCAGCTAGAAATTTTTCTCCCCATGGAAAGGATCACCAAGTCCTCCTCTTAAAGATTCATGTAACAAAAATATAAATTGAAGCTAGCCATAAATTGGTCCTAGGAAATAAAGTACTTTGTAATTAATTAATTAATTTTTTTGAGACGGAATCTTGCTCTGTGGCCCAGGCTGGAGTGCAGTGGCATGATCTTGGCTCACAGCAACCTCCACCTCCTGGGTTCAAGCAATTCTCCTGCCTCAGCCTTCCAGGTAGCTGGGACTACAGGCGTGAGCCACCACACCTGGCTAATTTTTCTATTTTTAGTAGAGAGGGGGTTTTGCCATGTTGGCTAGGCTGGTCTCGAACTCCTGACCTCAAGTGATCCACCCACCTCGGCCTCCCGAAGTGCTGGGATTACAGGTGTGAGCCACCGCACTTGGCCAAGAAAGAACTTATTGTTTTATGTACACACACACACACACACACAAACACACACACAGAGAGTCAGTTCTCATTATTTTTAATAGCTTATGTTCTATAAAGTTACTGCCAATTCTGGATTAGTGAATACTGAACCTAGGGGAAATACAGGGTTAGATTTCTGTGAGTCTCTTATCATAACATGTTTGTCAATTGATCAATACATAGCCTGTTTTATGTGTATTTCTATACCTTATTTAATATATATTGTGGATTTACTAACATTGAACACATGGCCAACAGAGCTGTAATGCATGAGTGAACAAAGCTTACCTTTCATGGGTATTTTCTCTGTGAGGTGCATGACAGCCTTCTTGCGCTTACTGGACAGCACTTCAGCAGTGCAGTTGGGGACGATTTTAAACAGTGAAGTCACCAACAAAAAGCACAAAAATGTAAAAACTAAATTGACTGAGGAAAGGTCACTTGTTTACAGTATGAGAGCTGAAAAATGGAGAGTGTCACCTTGTTCAGCTCAGTGGGGAATGTGTGCATTGGGCGACTCAAAATTTTCACTGCTCTATGAATGATCACAGAAGCCCATAAGCATTGATTGTTGGGGTTCAAATATGTTTTAGTGAGTAGGCGAATTTGCAAATACAGAATGTGCAAATAATGAGGATCAGCTGTATATGTACTTACTACTAGTTAATATTTGTTGAATGCTTGCTAATGCCAGTATTTATTTTAGGTTTTAGAAATATATCAACACAGTTAATTCTTATAAAAGCTCTATTAGGTAGGTATTGATATTTTCTCTATTTACATATTACAGGGAGAAGTTAAGTGAAGTTTTCCAACCCACAGCTGGTAAGTATCAGAGTAAGGATTGGAGCCAGGCAGAGTGGTTCCAGAGCCCACACATTTGTCCACAGTACTATGCTGCTTTTTTAAAAAGTCTTTCTATTATTATTGTTCGCATTTGGAGAACATTATCCTATCAATGATCTTTTTCAAAGGGGTGTTTTTATGGATCATTCATTTATTCACTTAATTAGAGAAATGATTTCGTGTGTGCCTACTTTGTGCTGGCACTGTGAGGGTTTAGCAGTGAAGAAATACATGACTTCTACCCTCACACAATTTCATTTAGCTTACAATTAGGTAAGATAATATAAATTATATAGCTTAGGATTACAATTGGCTTTATATGATTTTAAAAATACAAATTAAGAGTGATTTAAACATGATAGAAATTGATTTTTCTTTTCCATGAATAGAGTCTGGAGGTAGGTTGCTTAGGGCTGGTAAGAAAACTCCACCATCATCAGTGACCCAGGCTGCTTCTATGTTGCTGCTCTGCCATCCGCATGCTGCTTGTGGTTCAGAGCATCTGGTCTAAGCTCCAAGCATCCTGTCTGCTTTGCAGCCAACAAAAAGGAGGGAAAGGGAAGAAGAGCACTTCTCTTAAGGAGACTTGCTGTATGTTCCACTCACCTCACTCAGATCTCATTTGTCAGAACTCAGCTACCTGGCTACAACTAACTGCAGAGGAGGCTGGGGAATGTAGTCTGTTAGTTCGGTGGCTATACGCTCAACTAAAACCCAGAGTTCTACTTCTGTTCCCAAGGCAAAGGAGAACTGTACACGGGAGGCAATTAGCAAACCTCTACATGTATGGAAACATTTTCTAAACTGCAGAGACCTTTAGGAAATTAAAGATCTATTAGAGTGGGATAATGGCTGCATTTATTTGATATTACATCTATTGTCTAATGGTTTTCAGTCTTCCCTTGTAGTAATTATTTTTCATTTAGAATCTAGAGTTGTCATTTGATTTCTTCAGCAACTCCAGTATCCCTGAACTTATGCTCATCTTTTTGCTGTGCTTTCGGAAAAAGAAAGCTAGATGACTTCATATGTATTTTAGCATATATATTTGGGGGGAGCCCAAACCTGGGAGTGAACCAGGGACTTATTACATGAAAATTGTAATGTTCTCTTTGACATTATACATTACACAAAAATCTTTCAAAATACCTCCAAGAGGTGAATAATCTTTGGAGGATAGTTAAAGAATTAATATTATAATAAAGATTTTTGAAAGAACTTGTATAAAAAAACTGGGAAAAATGAAGACACTGTTTTGAATGGAGTTGATTCTTGCACTGTCCACATGGAGAAGGATGAAGCATTGAAGTACTTTAATTATGTAAAAATATCAGATAAAAGTCATTTTATGTTTTCTTTTACATCTGTGTAACTTAGAAATTTCTTCAATTCTCCATTTTATCTTTTGTACGTGTATCACTCAGTATCCTTGCAGGAAGCAGATAATACAATTAAAGGGATCAATTGAAATGAGTTTGATGGAGAGACTATTCACAAAGGCTGGGCATGGTTATGAGAACCAAAAAGAAATGGTGACTACCTGAGGACTAGCATCAGTGGGAAGCTGTTAGAACTGTGAGGGCTGAAGCGGCAAGTGGAGAGGAAATGACTTTACTGAAAGCTGATGAGAACTGTAGCCATGCCACGAGGCCCATCCAGCATGAACTCTGGCCCTGCATAGAGTAACACAGTCATTGTCAAACCAGAGCCTGGCAGAGAGAAAGAGGGAGTTGGACAGGAAAGGATGCAGAACATATCCCCCAATTTCTCCATCCTCCAGCTTTCTCTGATCTCCTGACGGTTCCCTGTTATACAATAGATCTATATGAAAAATAAAGAATAACCAGCCTCCGGGCATGGTGGCTCACTCCTGAAATCCCAGTACTTTGGGAGGCTGAGGCGGGCAGATCACGAGGTCAAGAGATCGAGACTATCCTGGCCAACACGGTGAAACCCCGTCTCTACTAAAAATACAAAAATTATCTGGGCGTGGTTGCATGTGCCTTTAGTCCTAGCTACTTGGGAGGCTGATGCAGGAGAATTGCTTGAACCCGGGAGGTGGAGGTTGCAGTGACCTGAGATTGCGCCACTGCACTGCAACCTGGTGACACAGTGAGACTGCGTCAAAAAAAAAAAAAAAGAACAACCAGCACAACTTGTAAAGTTGATTGCAGTCATTTGAACAGACCCTATCTCAGTCATTATCACTGATTAAATAATGCCTGCTGACATCAGTATTGTGCATTAATATTCCCAATCTGGCTGCAGATTAGCTTTTGAAGTGAAAACTTCACACACATACTTTTTACTTTATTTTATTTTATTTTTTTGAAACGGAGTCTCACTCTGTTGCCCAGGCTGGAGTGCAGTGGAGCAACCTCAGCTCACTGCACCTTCTGCCTCCTGAGTTCAAGCCATTCTCCTGTCTCAGCTTGCTGAGTAGCTGGGACTACTGGCACACACCACCATGCCCGGCTAATTTTGGTATTTTTAGTAGAGACGAGGTTTCACCTTGTTGGCCAGGCTGGTCTCGAACTCCTGACCTCAAGTGATCTGCCTGCCTTGGCCTCCCAAAGTTCTGGGATTACAGGCATGAGCCACTGTGCCTGGCTGAGAGACATACTTCTAATTTTAAAACGCGTTATCTATTTTTGTTCTTTTGATTTTGGCTATATATACTTCACCCTGAAAATGGCCACAGTTTTAGAAAATCATGCTACTGTGTAAAGATGTTAGACATAGAACAAGCGCACCTGTATTACTCGATTTCACTACCAGGATCCATCAGTTGGGTTCTCGCTCTGAATCCTTGTTCTATCACTTCAGTGTTAACAACGAGCTGATGGAATCAGTTATGGATGGCTTAGTGCGGATTCAGGAAACTCCAAAACTCTCTCTGTTCTCAAATGTTTCTTCCATCTATTTTTTGCCATCACATTCTACCTGATGTGATAGTCCTGCCATTAGATACCACTCTTCTAGACCAGAAAAATGTAGGGCCTCCTTTCTAAAAGGAAGCCCACGATGCAAACTAGAAGGAGAGTAAGACCCGTTTACCTTCTTCTATTAGCCAAGAGGTTTTTATGTTTTATTTTTTTCAGATTACTTGGTTTTCTTTTGACATGCTCAATGAAACAAATGTTGAGGAATCTTGGACAGGCAAGTTTTAATGTTTGGGACAGAGAGAACAAGCAAATAACTAGGCCAAAATGAGCTGGCAGTGTGAGTGGCCTGGAGACTTAGAGGAAGGAGGTCTGAGTAGGAGGTTTTCACATGCATTGTCAAACTTTTCTTATTTGATCCTCGTCATCAGCCACTGGCTTACACACAAAATATACTGTTTCTTTTTTAAAAAGTTAAAGATTATAAAACAGACAAAACCAAACTGAAGCCCAGATAGGCTTAAGTAACTTAGCAAGAAAAATGGTTCAGCAGGCCAGGCCAACAACAGGAAACCGTAGATCTTCCCCATGATTGTTGTGTGGCTAAGGGCAGACCACTTTGCTATTCGTGGTTCATTTCCTTTTCCTCCTTGTGGTATAAAAGAGTCTTTGAGAAACACACAGTGAAAAGTTCTAGAAATTCCTTTAAAAAAACCACCTTGCATAAAACATTAGTAACCTGGCTTTTTAGACCTTTGACTTAAGCCATCTAAGGCTTATTTTTCTTTCCCTCACTTAGCCTAGGCAAAAACAATGGGAAAGGCAGGAAGAGAACTGGGAGAGAGTGACATTGAGGAGAGCTGGAGCCTGGGCTGAGGGGTGTTCAGGCACAGCCTCACACTCTTCCAAGAACCTCTGCTCCTTCTGATGCCTGGATTGCATTAGTCAGTTCTCCAGAGAAATAGAACTAATAGGATATACAGAGAGATATATAAGAGGGGATTTGTTATGGGAATTGGCTCACTTGATTATGGATGCTGAGAAGTCCCATGGTATGCCATCTGCAAGCTGGAGACCCAGGAAAGCCAGTGGGGTAATTCAGTCTGAGTCCAAAGGCCTGAGAACCAGGGGAGCCAACAATGGAACTCCCAGTCTGAGGCCAAAGGATTGGAAACTAGGGGGTGCTGGTGTAAGTCCTGGAGTCTTAAGGCCCAAGAACCAGGAGCTGTGATGTGCAAAGGCAGGAGAAGATAGATGTCTCAAGAAGAGAGAGAAAATTTGCCCTTTCTTTCTCCAACTTTCTGTTCTATTTGGGCCCTGAATAGATTGGATGGTGCCCGTGCCCACCCACCTTAGTGAGGACGATTTTCTTTACTCATCTCCTGATTCAAATGCTAATCACTTCCAGAAGCAACCTTACAGACACACCCAGAAATAATGTTTTACCAGGTATCCAGGTAACTTTGGTCCACTCAAGTTGACACATAAAATTAACTATCACGCTGGACCCAACTAGCAGGGTCATTAACCACCCTGGTTTGCCCAGGACCGAGGAGCTTCTCAGGATATGGGACTCTTAGTGCTAAAACTAGGAAACTCCTGAGCAAACCAGGACAAATTGGTGACCCTATGCCTATATTCTCTATCTCTCTCTCTCTTTTTTTTTTACACCAAGACAGTCTCACTCTGTCGCCCAGGCTGGAATGCAGTGGTGCAATGTCAGCCCACTGCAACCTCTACCTCCCAGATTCAACTGATTCTCTTGCCTCAGCCTCCCAAGTAGCTGGGATTACAGGCACGTACCACCATGCCCAGCTAATTTTTGTATTTTTAGTAAAGACAGGGTTTCACCGTGTTGGCCAGGCTGGTCTCCAACTCCTGACCTCAAGAGATCCGCCCAACTCCTCCTCCCAAAGTGCTGAGATTACAGGTGTGAGCCACTGTGCCTGACCTCTTTTTTTTTTACACAAGTTAATTTTCAGTTTCCCCTCTAGCTTTAGAAAAGATCAGTGTTTCTCGTTAAGAACCACATGTATTTTGGTTTGCATTTAGGGGCTATAGGTATGAAAAACATATATTTTAAAATAATAGACTCATGCTCAGTAAGGTGAGATGCTCATAGTATAAAAGCATATCAGGAACAGAATACATCCTAGGAAATAGCAGACTCAACTCCAGCTGGAGCTTACACAGGGTTATAAATTCACTGAGAAGAATGGCCATGGAACTGCAAGCAGTGTTGAAATTGTTATCTATCTTTTCACTACCAAATACCCCTCGCCCCACAGGCAGGTAAAACTAAATTCACAGAAATTAAATCCCTCCACTGATGAAAAAGGCACCAGGCTGTAAAAAGAAGATTAATCTAGCAATCAAATACCTCGATGAATGTGCAGAGTGGCTTGGAAGTGAGCAGTAGTTAAAAACAAATGTAACAAAATATAAGATGGAATACTTTACATCACAGTTTTGGCTGAGGCTCCAAAGACTGAGAATAAATCAGTATCTGCCCAGTCACCACGGTGTGCCAAAGGAGGTGCTGGATTGCCTCGTCAGGACATGCTACATGGATGGAGAGAAGATTCCTTGGGGAGATTTGGTGTGTGCATAACCAGTCCTTCCAGCACTGGAGAAAGGAGGAGTCCTGCACAGGTTGTACACGATTCTTTCCACCTGGAAACTTGAAACATGTGCCCTGGAGTTGAGGATGCTTGGTTTAATGATACTGACCTGCAATTGAGAAGACCAAAAGGGCGAGACATACCTTCACGCAAGGCGAGGATGCATGAGTTTTCCTGTGAAGCAGGTGAGACCATTGGAACTTGGTATAGGGGAGTGGACTCTTGGGGCCAACTTAAAAGTCATCCGGCTGATGGGCGCGGTGGCTCACGCCTGTAATCCCAGCACTTTGGGAGGCCGAGGCGGGCGGATCACGAGGTCAAGAGATTGAGACCACGGTGAAATCCCGTCTCTACTGAAAGTACAAAAAATTAGCCGGGTGCGATGGCGGGCACCTGTAGTCCCAGCTACTCCGGAGGCAGAGGTAGGAGAATGGCATGAATCTGGAAGGCGGAGCTTGCAGTGAGCCGAGATCGCGCCACTGCACTCCAGCCTGGGTGACAGAGCGAGACTCCGTCTCAAAAAAAAAAAAAAAAAGTCGTCCGACTGAGAGGGCTCTTTGAATGGCGATGGAACCCCAGTAGAGAGAGGCTGGGGTGGACTGCCAAATGCCCGGGAGATTAGAGTTGAGGTAATTAGTGACCAGCCAGAGAAAGACGACCCCTTCCTTTAAAAAATGTAAACTTCTGAGAAAACTTCCAAAGCACTCTGCTAGGGAAAGTACCAGCTCTAATCAACTCCCAAGCTCAGCGTGCTCCCATAATACCCACTTCTCCCGGGGCAGGCTTTGGAAGGGTCGGGAATGCTGACAAGGATGCTAGCAGAGGAAGTAAAGCTAATTGGTGAGAAGGAGGGAGAGCAAAAGCTGACCCTTCACATCCCCTCTCATCCCAGCCAATGCACAAAGCCTTCCAGGTATAAATGGTTTCAAGCTGGGATAGAGGAAAATCTCCACATTAGTTAAAAGTTGGAAATTCTAGTGATTTAATACGACTCTATGTTTTAATTATTCAAATATAACTTATTGGGATAGAAGATGATTGGAGTAATCTTGAAAATTATGGAAAAGTTATAGGATCAGTCCAATATTTAATCCAAGGAAGAAACAAGATCTTATAATGGGTTTAAAGGGACTCGTGTGAGTGTGTGTGTGTGTGTCTGTGTGTGTGTGTGTGTGGTCGAGGAAGAGGAAGTGCACCTATTGAGTTCAGCCTGTTAAATAACAGCTGGAATTTACAAAATGTCTACTACATGCTTGGTACTGTTCTGTTACATGTGATAAGTCATTTAATGTTCACAGAAAATCTGTGAAACAGGCATTATAATTACCCTCATTTTACAGATGATGAAATTGAGACTGAAAGGTTAAATAATTTACCAAGGCCAGACACTTAATAAGTGGAGAATCTGAGGTTTAAACCTAGGAGTATATAGCTCAGGAGTTCATGCTCCTAATCACACTATGCTTTGCTTATTATCTGAGAAAATGGCTACAAAAAGATGCCGTGGGACTCACAGAAAAGGGATTTTTGAATGAGCAAGTTAAAACAATACTCTAGAAGCAGCAATTGGAGGATCCAAGTACCAGCACTTTGGATCTCCAACTGGAACTTGGGTTCAAAATTATTCTGGGGCTGCAGTGGGTTTTCACTCCCAGGGAGCTCTCAGTTGACCTGGCATAGTGGGCTACCACTTCCGAATAATAGAGAAGACATTCTCAAAGGTGGGCCCATTTAGGGTTTTTCGTTTTAAACACTACCTAATCTGTTTTGTCGTTGTGGTTTTGAATTATTTTGTTTCTGCTCTGGCCCCACTATCTGGGTAACTTTCTTTCCTGAGTCAGCAAGGGGCTAATGTTAAAAGCCATAATAATTATTTAATCATGATCCCCTTTTAACTCCAAAATGACACTGCATTGAACTGAAAAGCTTTTCTGATTAAGTATCTACTAAACACCATATTTCATTTATAATGCTCACCTTTGTATGCAAGGAATATAGACATCACACCTCCAGAATGGGCTCAAAAACCATTTTATCTGATTAATTATTCTGATAAAGACTTGATTCCCATAATAAATTGGACATAATGGAGGATACATTCATGAAAAAAGTGGGTAGATACATTTTTGCACAGAGTTGAATTTTCCAATTTTGAAAGTCAGAAAATACAAAGTAAGTTTTCATGAACTGTATTACCTTCTCATGCTTTTTACATTCCTAAAATATAGTGGAAGTTATTTTATTGCATGAATGCAAAATTAATGTCAAAATAATGAGGTTGCATTGAGGCTTACAGCAGGAAAACTAAGGAACTCAAACGATTTTTTTCCTATCCTGTTCATTCTGGCCATAGCACCTAAAGTGCTCCATACCCTCCTGCCAGTCAGCTGTGAGAAAAAGGTGGCTGGAAATAGTGAGGAATCAGAGAAAAAAGGTAAGATTGTGAAGTCGAGTTAAAGTTACCTAGGAGTGGCCTGAGTTCCCCTCCTCTCTCACTATCACCTTTACCTTCCAACTTGGAGTTAATTGCTTAAAATAATAAAATTTGGATAGGTTCAATAGGAAATTCAAGTTTTTCTAAATTAATTTTTTATCATATTAATATTTGCATGTAGTTAAAATGCAAATGATATAAAACCTCATATAACAGTCTAAATTGGGTCAAAAAATTCAATTGGGTAGAATATAGGGTTGCAGTATTGTAAACTTAACATAATTGGGGTGAGTCTAGTTCAGAGCATGGGAACCCATCACCAATTCCTTCAGTTACACTGAAATTCGTAATATTGTGAGGTGTGTGGTCAAGGGGTTTTCCTGAAGTTCTAAATGTCATGATTAAAAGTAGAAATTTCCTTCTCACATTTTCATACTTCCCATCCATAATCTGCTTCAATATTTTGAACTCTTTCTACTGGTATTGACATTTTTAGATAATAATTCAGGTAATTCTAATAGATGTATAGGTATCTGCAAGAGAGGCATTTAATTTTAATTAATGGCATAATGCATAGATAATTTGTATTTTTAGATAATATTTTGGAATAACTAAAAAGAGTTATATGGTTGTGATATGTGAATATTATTTACTGAAGTTAAGTAATATGCTATAATTATGGTTTCTTTCTTGTATAATTTTTTTTTTTTTTTTTTTTTTTTTTTGAGACGGAGTCTCTCTCTGTCCCCCAGGCTGAGTGCAGTGGCGCCATCTCAGCTCACTGCAAGCTCCGCCTCCCGGGTTCAGGCCATTCTCCTGCCTCAGCCTCCGGAGCAGCTGGGACTACAGGTGCCTGCAACCATGCCCGGCTAATTTTTTGTATTTTTAGTAGAGACGGGGTTTCACCGTGTTAGCCGGGATGGTCTCAATCTCCTGACCTCGTGATCCGCCCGCCTCGGCCTCCCAAAGTGCTGGGATTACAGGCGTGAGCCACAGCGCCCGGCCTCTTTCTTGTATAATTTTTAATTAAATTTACTTATTCAGTTTTTCATATGTTTATCCTCAATTCTTTCCACACACACCATCAGATCTTTCATATATCAATTTATTTTCCAAGTGCTCAAATATATCAGAATATCATCTATCTATAATGTAAATTTAAGCTTACCTTTAGTGGCAATTAATTAATATTAGATTTGCTGTACCCCCTCCCCGCCCAAAAAATGAGTCAGAAAACAACAGTCACTAGTCAGTTTTAGAGTTTTATTCCATTAAATGACTGGGAAAAGTTCATTGCTTAATGTATATTTTAACTACCTTAGACTATTGTTTTAATTTTTGAAATTAGAATAAAAATAAAATTTTACTCTTGAAAGAGACTTCATTCACTTATTTATTTTTTTAACAGATGTATTCAACAGATTTTTTTGTGTGTGTGTGGGTAACCTGTTTTTATTTTTTTATTTTTATTTTTTTCCCAACAAATTTTTTTAAACACTTATTCAACAGCTTTTGATCTACAAAAATGGCAGTTTCATGTGATTCAGATTAATGCTGTGAGTCTGGTACTCTGCTAGGCACTTGGTCATAACAGTCTTATTCCGTCTCTCATTTTACATAGGGGAAGGAAAAACAAAGCTGTCTATTGATAAAGATTATTTATTTTAAGAACAATAAAGAGTAATGCATTTCTAAGAGCTAAACAAAAATATGATTGTTAGTACACGCATTAGAGGTTTACTTTCTGCAGCTTTATGGTTCCAAAGGCATTTCCTGATACTTTACTGTTCTAAATTTGAGCATGTTGCTGAAGTCCTGTGTGATAGATACTTAAAAGATGAAAAAAAAAAAAACCTCCCTAAAGTATAAACAAATAAAAACATTATAAAGTAGGGGAGTCTGAAATCATGCCTATTTATTTGCATGTTAACGTGGAAAAGTCTTTAGCCTCCTGGGTAAATATTCATTATCTTAATTGGCTCCTGGCTAGTTAAGTCTTCAGGAGGATAAAAAAAAAAATAGCCTGTGGGTTAAATATATTTGCTGGAAAGTAAGAACTTTGAAATGAAATGAAATGTTGAATGAAAGCAACATCTGAATTTCACTCTGAAACCAGAAAATCTAATACAGTAGTAATGATTTAGTCATGCTGCTTTTTCCAGGAATTATCAATAAAAGAGGGGAAGTTAAGTCCTAACTTGAGCCCTGGAATTCAATAAAAAATAAAGCATAAGAGCTGAAAAAGAAATCAGAACTATATTATTTGGAAGCACAGATTGGTAAGAGAAAGTCCAAACAGAGGAGTGTGAAGAGGAATGGAAAGAAACAAAACTGTTCCATTAAAAAGGTGTTTAAGGGGCTTATTCTCCCTCAGTGTGCATGCATATAAATTCCATTAGTGTTAATAGGACCTAAATGCATGACTCAAGAGGAGAATAGAGTGACTTGTGTACATATGGTACATGAAGTCTAGGAAAAGTCTATTAAAAATGACAAAGGGTAGTTTAGGAGTCTAATAGACTTACAGCTATCTGCAAGAGAGGCATTTAATTTTAATTAATGGCATAATGCATTTTTCTTTTACTAAGGCCCCCACCCCCTAAAAAAACCCATGAAAATGACAAAGGGAAAATAATTTTAAATAACCCCAAACTTAGCTCTCAAAATCATGGCTTAATGCTAAGGAATATATTCTTGCACTCCAAGTGGTAAAATTGATCCCTTGTGCAAGGTTTATAATTTACATTCAGATTGGAATATTGAGTTTTATAGAGAATTCAGCTCATTATTCCCAGCCTTCACTCTGTGTGTGTGTGTGTGTTTGTGTATGTGTGTGTGTGTGAGAGAGAGAGAGACAGAGAGAGAGAGAGACAGTGACAGAGACAGAGAGGCTGATTTCCATAGAAACTAAACTCCAGTCTTTGGTTATTTACAAAAGGGAGCATAATCAAGCCAGATTTTAAAAAATACATAATAGTGCACAAAGTAATAGATAGAAATCTCTTAACTGAGGGAGAAATCTGTTGCTGGGAGAATAATTGAGATTTCTTTGCTGTAGTTAATATAGTTTCAAGTAAAGAATAACGTTCTTTATCCAAAAGAGATAGAAAACTAAGGATATCTTTCTTTATAGAGAAAAGCTGGGGGTTACAAATAAATAAATTTAAATAATATTTATTACTTATTTCTTCTTCTTCTTTTTTTTTTTTTTTTTGAGACGGAGCCTCACTCTCTCTCCCAGTCTGGAGTGCAGTGACGCAGTCTTGGCTCACTGCAAGCTCCGCCTCCCAGGTTCACGCCATTCTCCTGCCTCAGCCTCCCGAGTAGCTGGGACTACAGGCGCCCGTCACCACGCCTGGCTAATTTTTTGTATTTTTAGTAGAGACGGGGTTTCACCGTGTTAGCCAGGTTGGTCTCAATCTCCTGACCTCGTGATCCACCCACCTCGGCCTCCCAAAGTGCTGGGATTACAGTTGTGAGCCACCCCACCCAGCCTATTACTTATTTCTTATAAGCCATAAGAACGTTGAAACAGGAACGTTATAATCCTCCACTTTATTCTTCATAATTCTACATGTATTAAATAGGTGCTTAAACACTTATGTAAAGAAGAATGCGTGAACATGGGGGTGGATTTGAAGAAAATGCAATGTCTTACCTGAAGTGCTTTCTTTGAAGTGTCTTATCTATCCTCTGCATTTGGAAAAAGTTGAATTTAGCACTGAGAAATGCTTTAGCGGGAAATTGAATGCCCAAGAATTTATATGATCTCTTTTCTAGTAAAAGGAACTACATTTAGGAAGAAGAACGTGAGTGAATTCTTTTTTGGGTAAATTTAATAAGAAGCAGATCTTAGAGGGACTCAATATCATACACTTGCATTACACTTTAATCTTCACCCTATGATGTTTCCAATATTATGGCACTGAAGTCATACTTCTTGCTGTGAAGAAGTAAGTCTCTAATATTGCTATCTTATTCCCATTCACTTTGTTTTTAGTCATTTTAAAGGGTTCTTTATATTTTAGGATCTAATATAGCATGATCTTTTTTGAAATAAAAGGTGTATAAAATTTGTACTTTTCATCTACTAGCACCAGGGGCGTGTGTGTATGCGTGTGTGTGTGTTTGTGTGTGTGTGTGTCTGTGACTACATATCTATGATTGTTACTATCAGATAGCTCCAAGTTAAGAAAAGTTAACTATGAGAAGTCTAAGAAGACTATACAATGTGTAGTGCCATTTCTTTACTGACGATAGTGCATATCAGGTAGTACCAGAGGGGTGAATTTAAGTTTAATGTAAATACTTATTAGCACAGGGAATGTAGGGATGGAAGGTGGGGATGGGAAGCCAAAAAGTCTCTCAATACAGTGGGAGGCAGGTGAGCTGTATAGCATAAATGAGGAAATTTATTTTGAGGAATTGTACTTATTTGCCCTTACCTTTAATGGCAGAAACCGCAATTACTTTTGCACCAAACTAATAAAAGGGCTCTGCAATACCAAGTGTGGTAGGTACATTGTTGCAACCACTTTGAAAAACTGGGTGGCAGTATCTATTAAAGTTGAACATTTGCAAATCATATGAACCAGCCATCTCACTTCTAGGTACATAAGCAACAGAAATGTTTAGATATTTGCCAAAAGACTCAGGCAAGTGTGTTATAACAACATTTCTAATAACCAAAAAACTAGACTCAACCCAAATATTCATTAATAATAAGATGGGTAAATAAATTGTGTTATATCAAGTAAAGAAATACATATAGTAACAGAAATAAATGAACTATAGCCATCTGCAAAAATATGAATGAATCTCACAAACATAGTATTGAGCAAAGAAGTCAGATAAAGACAAGTCAGTATTGTTTAATTTTATTTATGGAAGGTCAATAAGAAGCAGATCAAATTAAACTAGTAGGTCTGCAATAGGAAAAAGGAGATGGACTGCAACTGTTTCTTAATCTGGGTACAGGTTACACAGGAGTGTTCATTTTGTAAAAAGCTATAAAGCTGTACACTTACATTTTGTGCAGTTTTCTGTTTTTGTGTGTGTTAACCTTCAATAAAAAATTTACCCTCCTTCTCAAATAAGTATAGATTTTATAGATTCTTGAAAGCTACCTATAAGGGCAGAACTTTAGGAAGACAAGGTGATGCAGAGCTTTAAATAGGAAGAAAAACTTGGGGAAGTGTGAAGCCGATGCCTCCAATCTGAAATCACTTAGGGGGATAGAATTTGTATTTGGGTAAAACCTTAGGTCATGATAAATCACAATATAGACTGATATTCAAAAGATCTGAGGGGACTTAAGCTTGAGTCAGAATAAACACAAATAAGCATCTGGTAATTTGTCTGATAATGGATATCAAATAAGACCAAAGGCAGGGACAGGCTGGAATGCCAGAGTTTAAAAACTAAACTTTTGAGGTAGGAGCAGTTTGTCACACAGTAGCTTGGAATGGTCTGCCAAACTCTGCTTGGGTTTAAATGACTCTTGTCCAGGAGTGAGAGTGTGGCAACTTTATATGGGTTATAATTATATAAAAGGCTAGAGAAAAAACTACATGATGTAACATTTTATTTATAAGTCATTTACTCATATATAGTCATGTCCTGTATGTGAAAATCTCATTTTTCAAACTATGCTGTGACTTCTACATGTAAAACATGGTGTAACAAATACACCAGCTTTTATTTACTCATTTAATTCTTAGTCTCCCATCAATGTAGGCTTATAATTAAGACTGACAAAGACCCAAAATAAAATTCTTACTGATTTATGGATTCTTCATGCCTTAGTCCATTCAGGCTGCTATGACAAAAATACTATAGGCTGGGTGGCTTAAACAGCATTTATTTCTCACAGTTCTGAAGGCTGGGGAGTTCTAGATCAAGATGCTGGCAGATTCGGTGTCTGGTAAGGGCCTGCTTGCTAGTTCATAGACTGCTGTCTTCTCCCTTTGTGCTCACATGGTGGAAGGGGCAAGGGAGCTCTCTGAGGTCTCTCTTATAAGGGCACTAATCCTATTCATGAGGGCTGCATCCTCATGGTCCAATCACCTCCCAAAGGCCCCAGTGTCTATTATCATTGCACTGGGGGCTAGGATTTCAACATACGTATTTTGAAAAGCTATAAATATTCAATCCATAACACTATATAAAGAGAAGCAATAATAAAAGCTGACAATTATGGAGTAGTTGCTATATACCAGGCACTGTTCTCAATACTTTACATATATTATTTAATCATCACAGCTACTATGAAACTTAGAGGAAAAGGCACACAGTAGTAAAGGACAGAGCCAGGGTTCAAGGCCAGGTTAGTCTGACTTCAATCTTTCTGCTGTGTTATTCTGTCAACTATATTTAGCTGTCAGGCATAAAAATGCTTTGAAATCTCAATGAACGTGCCTGCAGGTTTCCCTTAGTTCAGCCCTCAGCAAAAAGAGGTCACCCTTACACCCTACTAGGCCTCTTTTCAATTATGAGAGCTGGAGCATATCCACAGAGAGTAGGCAGCGGCAGATGGGTAGGGCAGTGGGAGATTTTTCACTCCAGGAAAGACTAGGTGACCAGCTGGCAAAGACAATATAGTATACAGCTCTCACACACTTGAATAGTGCCCCTTACGTTAAGATTCTTTCTCTGTGCTGCCAGGTTTCAGCTCTTCCCACTCCTAAAAGGTGAGCTCGTTTCCCCTTTTGTCATTCTTGGTGCAAGCTCCAGTAGCTTAATTTATTTCCCCAGTAGTCCATAAAAATAGAGCCCAAAGTTTTCCTTTTTTTGGGAGAACAAAGAGGGGTGAGTCTTTTTTTTTTTTTTTTTTTTTTTGAGACAGAGTCTCGCTCTGTCACCCAGGCTGGAGTGCAATGGCGTGGTCTCGGCTCACTGCAAGCTCCACCTCCAGGGTTCAAAGGATTCTCCTGTCTCAGCCTCTCCAGTAGCTGGGACTGCAGGCGCCCGCCACCACTCTGGGCTAATTTTTGTATTTTTAGTAGAGATGGGGTTTCTCCATATTGGCCATGCTGGTCTCGAACTCCTGACCTCGTGATCTGCCCGCCTTGGCCTCCCAAAGTGTTGGGATTACAGGTGTGAGCCACCGCGCCTGGCCGAGGGGTGAGTTTTTAAACGTAATTTCTTCTTCTCTACTTTTCAGGAAAGAGTTTAACAATTCACGGTTGCACAGTAGCGCTAGCGGCTTTGCGGTTTGGTCCTCAGACCCGGCA
Source organism: Homo sapiens (assembly GCF_000001405.40). NCBI lineage: Eukaryota > Metazoa > Chordata > Mammalia > Primates > Hominidae > Homo > Homo sapiens. The sequence continues at coordinate 109,347,561 of NC_000004.12, read as the reverse complement.
GCCGCCACTGGTGATGAGCTGCTAGGAAGCCCCTGTCGGCAAGCTCGTTGGAGCTTGAATCCACTGTCACCCCTCTGACTCACTGGCAAAAAAAAAAAAAAAGTTGAAGCAGATTGTCCAGCAAAGTTCTTCATTGGTGGGCTTAATACGGAAACAAATAAGAAAGCTCTTGAAGCAGTATTTGGCTAATATGGACGAATAGTGGAAGCACTCTTGATGAAAGAGCATGAAACCAACAAATCAAGAGGATTTGCTTTTGTCACCTTTGAAAGCCCAGCAGATGCTAAGGATGCAGCCAGAGACATGAATGGAAAGTCATTAGATGGAAAAGCCATCAAGGTGGAACAAGCCACCAAACCATCATTTGAAAGTGGTAGACGTGGACTGCCTCCACCTCCAAGAAGTAGAGGCCCTCCAAAAGGTCTTAGAGGTGGAAGAGGAAGAAGTGGAGGAACCAGGAGACCTCCCTCATGGAGAAGACACATGGATGACAGTGGATACTCCATGAATTTTAACATGAGTTCTTCCAGGGGACCACTCCCAGTAAAAAGAAGACCACCACCAAGAAGTGGGGGTCCTCCTCCTAAGAGTTCTGCACCTTCAGGACCAGTTCGCAGCAGCAGTGGAATGGGAGGAAGAGCTCCTGTGTCACGTGGAAGAGATAGTTAGTGCGGTCCACCTGGAAGGGAACCGCTGCCCTCTCGTAGAGGGTTCTTCTTGAAGACAGTTCTTCAAGCAGAGATTAGCCAAGTTCTCGTGATACAAGAGGTTATGCACCACCACCACCGCGAGATTGTACTTACCGTGATTATGGTCATTTCAGTTCACGTGATGACTATCCATCAAGAGGCTATAGCGATAGAGATGGATATAATAGTGATCATGACTATTCAGATCATCCAGCTGGAGATTCCTACAGAGATTCATATGAAAGTTATCGTAACTCACGTAGTGCTCCACCTACAGGAGGGCCCCCGCCCCCCCATCTTATGGTGGAAGCGATGATTATAGCAGTTCACGTGACGGATATGGTGGAAGTCGAGACAGTTACTCAAGCAGCCGAAGTGATCTCTAATCAAGTGGTCGTGGTCGGGTTGGCAGACAAGAAAGACGGCTTCCCCCTTCTATGGAAATCCTCCACGTGATTCCCACGGCAATTCAGGCGGTGGAGCACCAAGAGGTGGTGGCAGTGGAGGAAGCCGATCTGATAGAGGGGGAGGCAGAAGCAGATACTAGAAACAAACAAAACTTTAGACCAAAATCCCAGTTCAAAGAAACAAACAAAAAGTGCAAACTATTCTGTCATAACTACCCAAGGACTACTTAAAGGAAAAATTGTGTTACCTTTTAAAAATTCCCTGTTAAGTTCCCCTCCGTAATTTTTATGTTCTTGTGAGGAAAAAAGTAAAACATGTTTAATTTTTTTGACCTCTTATTTTTATTTTTTTAAATTATACTTTAAGTTCTAGGGTACATGTGCACAACGTGCAGGTTTGTTATATAGGTATGCATGTGTCATGTTGGTTTGCTGCACCCATTAACTCGTCATTTACATTAGGTATTTCTCCTAATGCTATCCCTCCCCCTGCCCTCCACCCCCGAAAGGCCCCGGGGTGTGATGTTCCCTGCTCTGTGTCTAAGTGTTCTCATTGTTCAATTCCCAATTATGAGTGAGAACGTGCAGTGTTTGGTTTTCTGCCCTTGTGATAGTTTGCTCAGAATGATGGTTTCCAGCTACGTCCATGTCCCTGCAAAGGACATGAACTCATCCTTTTTAATGGCTGCATAGTATTCCATGGTGTATATGTGCCACATTTTTTAAATTAATTAATTAATTTATTTATTTTTTAATTATTATACTTTAAGTTTTAGGGTACATGTGCACATTGTGCAGGTTACTTACATACGTATACATGTGCCATGCAGGTGTGCTGCACCCACTAACTTGTCATCTAGCATTAGGTATATCTCCCAGTGCTATCCCTCCCCCCTCCCCCCACCCCAAAACAGTCCCCAGAGTGTGATGTTCCCCTTCCTGTGTCCATGTGATCTCATTGTTCAATTCCCACCTATGAGTGAGAATATGCGGTGTTTGGTTTTTTGTTCTTGCGATAGTTTACTGAGAATGATGGTTTCCGATTTCATCCATGTCCCTACAAAGGACATGAACTCATCATTTTTTATGGCTGCATAGTATTCCATGGTGTATATGTGCCACATTTTCTTAATCCAGTCTATCATTGATGGACATTTGGGTTGGTTCCAAGTCTTTGCTATTGTGCATAGTGCCACAATAAACATAAGTGTGCATGTGTCTTTATAGTAGCATGATTTATAATCCTTTGGGTATATACCCAATAATGGGGTCGCTGGGTCAAATGATATTTCTAGTTCTAGATCCTTGAGGAATTGCCACACTGTCTTCCACAATGGTTGAACTAGTTTACACTCCCAACAACACTGTAAAAGCGTTCCTATTTCTCCACATCCTCTCCAGCACCTGTTGTTTCCTGACTTTTTAATGATTGCCATTCTAACTGGTGTGAGATGGTATCTCATTGTGGTTTTGATTTGCATTTCTCTGATGACCAGTGATGATGAGCATTTTTTCATGTGTCTGTTGGATGCATGAATGTCTTCTTTTGAGAAGTGTCTGTTCATATCCTTTGCCCACTTTTTGATGGGGTTGTTTGTTTTTTTCCTGTGAATTTGTTTAAGTTCATTGTATATTCTGGATATTAGCCCTTTGTCAGATGGGTAGATTGCAAAAATTTTCTCCCATTCTGTAGGCTGCCTGTTCACTCTGACGGTAGTTTCTTTTGCTGTGCAGAAGCTCTTCAGTTTAATTAGATCCCCTTTGTCAATTTTGGCTTTTGTTGCCATTGCTTTTGGTGTTTTAGACATGAAGTCCTTGCCCATGCCTATGGCCTGAATGGTATTGCCTAGGTTTTCTTCTAGGGTTTTTATGGTTTTGGGTCTAGCATTTAAGTCTTTAATCCATCTTGAATTAATTTTTGTATAAGGTGTAAGGAAGGGATCCAGTTTCAGCTTTCAACATACGGCTAGCCAGTTTTCCCAGCACCATTTATTAAACAGGGAATCCTTTCCCCATTGCTTCTTTTTGTCAGGTTTGTCAAAGATCAGGTGGTTGTAGATGTGTGGTGTTATTTCTGAGGCCTCTGTTCTGTTTCATTGGTCTATATATCTGTTTTGGTACCAGTACCATGCTGTTTTGGTTACTGTAGCCTTGTAGTATAGTTTGAAGTCAGGTAGCGTGATGCCTCCAGCTTTGTTCTTTTGGCTTAGGATTGTCTTGGCTATGTGAGCTCTTTTTTGGTCCCACATGAACTTTAAAGTAGTTTTTTCCAATTCTGTGAAGAAAGTCATTGGTAGCTTGATGGGGATGGCATTGAATCTATAAATTACCTTGGGCAGTATGGCCATTTTCACAATATTGATTCTTCCTATCCATGAGCATGGAATGTTCTTCCATTTGTTTGTGTCCTCTTTTATTTCGTTGAGCAGTGGTTTGCAGTTCTTCTTGAGGAGGTCCTTCACATCTCTGGTAAGTTGGATTCCTAGGTATTTTATTCTCTTTGTAGCAATTGCAATTGTGAATGGGAGTTCACTCATGATTTGGTTCTCTGTTTGTTATTGGTGTATAAGAATGCTTGTGGTTTTTGCACCTTGATTTTGTATCCTGAGACTTTGCTGAAGTTGCAAATCAGTTTAAGGAGATTTTGGGCTGAGACGATGGGGTTTTCTAAATATACAATCATGTCATCTGCAAACAGGGACAATTTGACTTCCTCTTTTCCTAATTGAATACGCTTTATTTCTTTCTCTTGCCTGATTGCCCTGGCCAGAATTTCCAACACTCTGTTGAATAGGAGTGGTGAGAGAGGGCATCCCTGTCTTATGCCAGTTTTCAAAGGGAATGCTTCCAGTTTTTGCCCATTCAGTATGATATTGGCTGTGGGTTTGTCATAAATAGCTTTTATTAATTTGAGATACGTTCCATCAGTACCTCGTTTATTGAGAGTTTTTAGTATGAAGTGCTGTTGAATTATGTCGAAGGCCTTTTCTGCATCTATTGAGATAATCATGTGGTTTTTGTCATTCATTCTGTTTATGTGATGGATTACATTTATTGATTTGTGTATGTTGAACCAGTCTTCCATCCCAGGGATGAAGCTGACTTGATCATGGTGGATAAGCTTTTTGGTGTGCTGCTGGATTCGGTTTGCCAGTATTTTATTGAGGATTTTCACATCGATGTTCATCAAGGATATTGGTCTAAAATTCTCTTTTTTTGTTGTGTCTCTGCCAGGCTTTGGTATCAGGATGATGCTGGCCTCATAAAATGAGTTAGGGAGGATTTCCTCTTTTTCTATTGATTGGAATATTTTCAGAAGGAATGGTACCAGCTCGTCTTTATACCTCTGGTAGCATTCGGCTGTGAATCCTTCTGTTCCTGGACTTTTTTTGGTTGGTAGGCTGTTAATTATTGCCTCAATTTCAAAACCTGTTATTGGTCTATTCAGAGATTCAGCTTCTTCCTGGTTTAGTCTTGGGAGGGTGTATGTGTCGAGGAATTTATCCATTTCTTCTAGATTTTCTAGTTTATTTGCGTAGAGGTGTTTATAGTATTCTTTGATGGTAGATTGTATTTGTGGGATTGGTGATGATATCCCCTTTATCATTTTTTATTGCATCTATTTGATTCTTATCTCTTTTCTGCTTTGTTAGTCTTGCTAGCAATCTATCAATTTTGTTGATCTTTTCTAAAAACCAGCTCCTGAATTCATTGATTTTTTCAAGGGTTTTTTATGTTTCTATCTCCTTCAGTTCTGCTCTGATCTTAGTTATTTCTTGCCTTCTGCTAGCTTTTGAATGTGTTTGCTCTTGTTTCTCTAGTTCTTTTAATTGTTATGTTAGGGTGTCAATTTTAGATCTTTCCTGCTTTCTCTTGTGGGCATTTAGTGCTATAAATTTCCCTCTACACACTGCTTTAAATGTGTCCCAGAGATTCTGGTAGGTTGTGTCTTTGTTCTCATTGGTTTCAAAGAACATCTTTATTTCTGGCTTAATTTTGTTATTTACCCAGTAGTCATTCAGGAGCAGGTTGTTCAGTTTCCATGTAGTTGTGTGGTTTTGAGTGAGTTTCTTAATCTTGAGTACTAATTTGATTGCACTGTGGTCTGAGAGTCAGTTTGTTGTGATTTCTGTTGTTTTCCATTTGCTGAGGAGTGCCTTACTTCCAACTATGTGGTCAATTTTGGAATAAGTGCAATGTAGTGCTGAGAAGAATGTATATTCTGTTGATTTGGGCTGGAGAGTTCAGTAGATGTCTATTAGGTCTGCTTGGTGCAGAACTGAGTGCAAGTCCTGGATATTCTTGTTAACATTGTGTCTCATTGATCTGTCTAATATTGACAGTGGGGTGTTAAACTCTCCCATTACTATTGTGTGGGAGTCTAAGTCTCTTTGTAGGTCTCTAAGGACTTGCTTTATGAATCTGGGTGCTCCTATATTGGTTGCATATATATTTAGGATAGTTAGCTCTTCTTGAATTGATCCCTTTACCATTATATAATGGCCTTCTTTGCCTCTTTTGATCTTTGTTGGTTTAAATATGTTTTATCAGAGACTAGGATTGCAACCCCTGCTTTTTTCTGCTTTCCATTTGCTTGGTAGATCTTCCTCCATCCCTTTATTTTGAACCTATGTGTGTCTCTGCACGTGAGATGGGTCTCCTGAATAGAGCACACTGATGGGTCTTGACTCTTTATCCAACTTGCCAGTTTGTGTCTTAACTGGGGCATTTAGCCCATTTACATTTAAGATTAATATTGTTATGTGTGGATTTGATCTTGTCATTATGATGTTAGCTGGGTTTTTTTGCCCGTTAGTTGATGCAGTTTCTTCCTAGCATGGATGATCTTTACAATTTGGCATGTTTTTGCAGTGGCTGATACTGGTTGTTCCCTTCCATGTTTAGTGCTTCCTTCAGGAGCTCTTGTAAGGCAGGCCTGGTGGTGACAAAATCTTTCAGCATTTGCTTGTGTGTAAAGGATTTTATTTTTCCTTCACTTATGAAGCTTAGTGTGGCTCGATATGAAATTCTGGGTTGAAAATTCTTTTCTTTAAAAATGTTGAATATTGGCCCCCACTCTCTTTTGGCTTGTAGAGTTTCTGCCGAGAGATCCGCTGTTAGCCTGACGGGCTTCCCTTTGTGGTAACCTGACCTTTCTCTCTGGCTGTCCTTAACATTTTTTTCCTTCATTTCAACCTTGGTGAATCTGACAGTTATGTATCTTGGGGTCGCTCTTCTCAAGGAGTATCTTTGTGGTGTTCTCTGTATTTCCCGAATTTGAATGTTGGCCTGCTTTGCTAGGTTGGGGAAGTTCTCCTGGATAATGTCCTGAAGAGTGTTTTCCAACTTGGTTCCATTCTCTCCATCACTTTCAGGTACACCAATCAAATGTAGATTTGGTCTTTTCCCATAGTCTCATATTTATTCGAGGATTTGTTTGTTTCTTTTTACTCTTTTTTCTCTAAACTTCTCTTCTCACTTTATTTCATTAATTTGGTCTTCAATCACTGATACCCTTTCTTCTACTTGATCAAATTGGCTATTGAAGCTTGTGCATGCATCACGTAGTTCTCGTGCCATTCTAACTCGTTCTAGTTTGCTATTTGTCTAATCTTTTTTCAACGTTTTTAGCTTCCCTGTGATGGGTTCAAACATCCTCCTTTAGCTCGGAGAAGTTTGTTATTACCGACCTTCTGAAACCTACTTCTGTCAGCTCATCAAAGTCATTCTCCATCCAGCTTTGTTTCACTGCTGGCAAGGAGCTGTGATCCTTTGGAGGAGAAGAGGTGCTCTGGTTTTTAGAATTTTATAATTTTCAGCTTTTCTGCTCTGGCTTCTCCCCAACTTTCTGGTTTTACCTACCTTTGGTCTTTGATGTTGGTGACCTACAGATGGGGTTTTGGTGTGGATGTCCTTTTTGTTGATGTTGATGCTATTGCTTTCTGTTTGTTAGTTTTCCTTCTAACAGTCAGATCCTTCAGCTGTAGGTCTGTTGGAGTTTGCTGGAGGTCCACTTCAGGCCCTGTTTGCCTGGGTATCACCAGTGGAGGCTGCAGAACAGCAAATATTGCTGCCCGATCCTTCCTCTGGAAGCTTCATCCCAGAGTGGCACCTGCCTGTATGAGGTGTCAGTCGACCCCTACTGGGATGTGTCTCCCAGTTAGGCTACAGGGGGGTCAGGGACCCACTTAAGAAGGCAGTCTGTCCGTTCTTTGAACTCAAACACTGTGCCGGGAGAACTAGTGCTCTCTTCAGAGCTGTCAGACAGGGACATTTAATTCTGCAGAAGTTTCTGCTGCCTTTTGTTCACGTACGCCCTGCCCCCAGAGGTGGGGACTACAGAGGCAGCCAGCCTTGCTGAGCTCTGGTGGGCTCCACCCAGTTCAAGCTTCCCTGGCCACTTTGTTTACCTACTCAAGCCTCAGCAATGGCAGACACCCTCCCCCAGCCAGGCTGCTGCCTCACGGGTCGATCTCAGACTGCTGTGCTAGCAGTGAGCAAGGCTCTATGGGTGTGGGATCCACCGAGCCAGGCGCAGGATATAATATCCTGGTGTGCCATTTGCTACGTTGGAGAAGTGCAGTATTTGGGCGGGAGTGTCCCTTTTTTCCATTTTCCATCTGTCATCACTTTCCTTGGCTAGAAGAAGGAAATCCCCTGACCCCTTGAGCTTCCTGGGTGAGGTGATGTCCCACCCTGCTTCGGCCCACCCTCCATGGGCTGCACCCACTGTCCAATCAGTCCCAATGAGGTGAACCAGGTACCTCAGTTGGAAATGCAGAAATCACCTGTCTTCTGCATCAATCATGCTGGGAGCTGCAGACCAGAGCTGTTCCTATTCAGCCATCTTGGAATAGAATCCAAAATATGCTTAATTTTATTTGACTTTATGACATTGCTTTTCAGCAAGCAAATATTAAATGTATTAAGACTTGTTGCACTAGTGTTGTAACTTTCCAAGTAAAAGGGTCCCTAAAAGCCACTTCCTATCTGATTTTTCCCAGTAAATGAGGCAAACAATCCTAAGATCTTCCAGAAAACATCTAGCCATGTAAAATGGAGAAATGAATCATTCTGCCTATATAAACAAGACAGCTATTAGAGGGTGGTTGGGGTATGCTACTCATAAGATTTCAGGGCGTCTTCCAACTGAAATCTCAATGTTCTCAGTATGAAAAACCTGAAACCAGATACCTATGTAAGGAAAGTGCTATTCACCCAGTAAATCCAAAAAAGCAAATGGATAATGCTGGCCATTTTGCCTTTCTGACATTTCCTTGGGAATCTGCAAGAACCTCCCCCAGTAAGACCTTTTAAGTGTGTGTTAAACAACTACAGAATACTAAATAAAGAGTTTGGCCAAAAGAAGAAATTCACATTTCATATAGGCTAGGAGTAAGGTAAAGCCACTCATTTTCCATGTGTTAAGTCAGTCCTCCTAATGAGACAAAACAAAAGGGGGAAATACCAGTTTAGCTTCATAATAAAACAAGTTAAATATTTACATCCTGTTAATATAGTATTAATCCAAAAGATTGAGAAGAAGAGGAAAAAAGTATAAGTACAAATGTAATAAATAGTAAACAAATAGCAAGATGATAGGTATAAATCCAACCATATCAATAATTACAATATATGTAAAGTATATAAACGTTCTAATGAAAATACAGAGTTCTCTGACTGGATAAAAAAGCAAGACCCAACAAAACAACAAAATACACATACACACACACACACACACACACGCAAAACTGCATTTTAAATAAAAAGACCCAGTTAGGTTAAGAATAAAAGGATGGAAAAAGATATACTATGTAAACATTAAGCACAATAAATAGATAACATGGCTGTATTAATATAATATAAATTAGACTTGAGAGCATGAAATATTATTAGGCATAAAGAGAATCTTTTCATAATTATAGAGAGGTGAATTCATCAGGAAAATATCATCCTAAATGTTGATGCCCTCCAAAACAATGCTTCAAAGTACACAAAATAAAAAAGACCTGAAAAAAGAAGAGACCAAAACTCTCTTCAATTACATTGGAAGATTCTACGGCTCATGTCTCCATCATTGATGGGAAAAAATAGACAAATCACTAAGGATAATAGAAGACTTGAGCAACACTATCAAACCAACCACCTAATTGATGTTTATAAAACACTTTACCTAACAATAGTAGAATACAAATTTTTTAACTTCATGTGAACCATTCACCAAGATGGATGATATGTTGCCCATAAAACATGTATCAACAAATTTATTTTAAAAATTGTTCTATTTTATTTTATTTTTTTAGGGAAAGGATCTTGCTATGTTGCCCAGGCTGGTCTTGAACTCCTGGCCTCAGGTGATCCTCCCACCTTGGTCTCCCAAAGTGCTGGAATTACAGGTGTGAGCCACTACACCCAGATGATCAATAAATTTTAAAGGACAAAATCATAGAAATTATATTCTATGACTGTTATGAAATTAAATTAGAAACAAACACAAAAAGTTAATCTGTCAAATCTGAAGTTTTGGAAATTAGACAAGACAGTTCTAAATAAATTATAGGTAAAAGAAGAAATAATAAGAAATATTACAAAATAATTTGAACTGAATCAAAATAAAAACAAAACAAATTAAAATTTGTGGGATACAGTAAAGTAGTGCTTAGAGGGGAATGTATGGCTTTAAATGCTTTTATTAGAAAAGTCTAAAATCTGTGGTGTAAACTTCACCTTTAGAAACTAGAAAAAGGAACTGCAAAAAAGAAGCAAAAACTAACACAAAATAATCATACAGAGGAATATGTTAAAGATAAGAGCGAAAGTCAATGAAAAGAAAATAGACAAATAATAGAGACAACCTACAAATATTGTGGTCAACTTATGCCAGCATATTTACTAATTAAAATAAAATGGACAAATTCCTTGAAAGACATATATTACAGCATTTACTGAAGTCATATGAATAGCCTTTATCTATTAAATAAATTGAATTAGTCATTAAAGCCTTCTCCAGAAGAAAACTCTAGGCCCAGATGACTTCTTATTTAAGGAGAAATATTACCAATTTCACATATACTCTTTTAGAAAAATGAGGAGAAAACATGTGTCAACTTATTTTTCAAGGCCAGTATTACCTCAATACCCAAACCAGACCAAGACAGTATAGGAAATGAAAATCAAATTTAATCCCCAATACTATATAAAAGGACCAGGAATCTGAGGTTGGTTTAACATTCAAAATTAATCAATGTAATTGATCATACTTATGGACTAAAAATGAAAAACCATATGATCATTTAGTAAGTGTTGAAAAAGCTTTCTACAAAATCCAGCATATATTCATGATTTTTTAAAAAAGACAACTTCTCAGCCAATTAGGGATAGAATGAAATTTCCTAGATCTGATCTAAGTCATCTACAGAAAACTGGAAAATAATATCATACACATTATCAGAAAGCTGAATGCTTTTTCCCTGTCATCTGGAACAAGACTAGGATGCTTACCCCTACTATTCATACTCTACTATCTATTAGAATTTCTAGTCAGTGCAACAAAGCAGGGAATAGAAGTAAAAGGTATACATCTGTCTATATATGCAAACAACATGATTGTGTATGCAGAAAATCCTGAGACATCTACCAAAGAAAATCCTTACCAGATTAATGATTAAGTTTAATAAAGTCACATGGTACAAGGGCAATATTAAAAAATCAATTGTTCTTCTAAATATTTTCAATGTTTAATTGGAATTGAAATGGGAAAAGCCAGATTACTTTCAGTTACATAGAAAATATAAAATACTTAGGGATAAATTTAACAAAATATAAGCAAGACCTATAGAAAGAAAATTACAAAAACATTGCTTAGACCTTAAAGAAGATCTAATAAATGGAGAGATACACTATGTTCATGGACTAGAGATTTCATATGGTTCAATGTCAGTTCTTTCAAAGTTAGACCCAATACAGTATCTACCAAAATCCCAATAGGTTTTTCTGTAGAAATTGACAAACTGATTTTTAAAATTTATATGGAAAGACAAAAGAACTAGAATAGCTAAAACAATTTTTTAAAAACAAGAATGAAGTTGGAGAGTTATACTACCTAGTTTCCAGACTTACAGAGTTATAGATTTCAAGATAGTGTGGCATTGGCATTAAGACACAAATCTAGATCAATGGACCAGAATATTGGTCCAGAAGTTGGCCCACACATATTATTGGCAGATTTTTTACAAAGATTATTAATGCCATGAGAAGAAATGATAGTCTTTTCAACAAAGGTGCTGGAACAACTGAATATCCATATGGAAAAAAAGGACTCTTGATCCTTATTTCATACCATACATAAAATTAATTAAAATAAATCATTGACCAAAATATTTACAAAACTAAAACTATAAAATTTCTAGAGATAAACCTAAAAAGACATCTTCATAACCTTGGGTTAAGCAGATTCCGTAGAACACTGAAGGCATAAACCATAAAGGAAAACATCAATAAATCGGATTTCATTGAATTAAAATTATTTAACAAAAGATACTGTTAAATAATTAAAAGGCAAGTTATAGATGGAGAGAGCAATACTTGAAATACATGTCTCACAAAAGACTTAGATCCAGAACACATAAAGAACTCTTTTAAAATGGTCAAAAGATTTTGACCATTCTTAGTTTGGGCCTCAGTGGCATGCATCCAGTCCCTCCCTACTCCAGGGTGTTGACTTACACAACGGCTGCCCGCCCTTCAAGTCAGTTTGGACAGTGCTTTTCTTCAGTGCTAAGCTTTCCTACCTGACTCTGTTCCACTGGAATCTGCTCTGTGCACTTCCTTTAGCACACTATTATTTGCTCCTTTAAATGCATGGATACTTTAAATTTCCAGCCACTGTGTTTCTGGCTCCTCATTTCCTCTTTATAGAGTGAGATCTTGGAAATTCATGTTATTCTCACCTAACCCCTGCCCTGTTAGATGACAACCTTACTCATCAGTTAGATTTAATTATATTTTTCCTGATTAGCCAGCTGAAAGGGACACCTCTTAATGGACCACACCGAGAGCTTTGACTGGAAGCTCTTGACAGAGAAAACAACAGGGAGTTTACTGACCGAATCAAACAAGCTTTCACGAGGCCTACAAGAAATAGGGCTGTTGTTAATAATGATCACAAATTACCAACGTCTGTCCAGAAACTTGTTCCTCCTTAGAATTTCACCAGTTAGCTGAAGCTGCAGGAGCCTTCTCAATGCTAGGAATCTGGTGTGAAGCTAGAGCCAGGATCCCCAGTCTCCTGCAGATGAGTTTCTATTCCTCCTGCATCTCTGAGCTAGACTACAAATTTTCCTCTAGTTCAGAATGATTAGATGATTAAATATGCCCTAAGGGCTCATGGAAGAATAGTAGAATCTGATACTCAAATTTCAACTTATAGGTAATAGGACACAATCCCTAAACCCTATTCTGAAACAGAACTCTTAGGGGTGGCTTCTCCTCTAAAGCCTCTGGCAGTAAAACTGCTGGGAAGGAACTTTCATGGACTCGCTCTCCCACAGACTATGCTGCAGGGATAGGATCAACACACAGAGGTCATAAACTTAAGTGCCTACAGGAAGGATATTTCAATGACTGACGGTGGTGGTGAGTCCTTGTGGTCTAGATTTTCTATATAGAAAAATGGGGTTAACAATGTGTGTGGAGGGGTGGGGGGTGGTGAGGCATGAAATTGAAGGCATGAAATTGAAGGCCTAAAATTAGCTCTCTGAAGAAGGGCTGGAAGCTGCATTTATGTAGCACTTTTCATTAGGTGGAGAAGGTGAACTGTGCGGGGTGTGAAGGCTGATGGTGGGGGACTGATGGGAAATGTGGTGACTGGAAGAAATGAGGCCCTCTCCAAGGAGGCAGCTTCCACTCGGCTCCAGCTGACACTTGCCAGTTGGCAATGAGGACAGTTGCCAGATATTCTGAGTTTTCAGAAGATGGAAATCCAGATTTTTTTTTTAAATGGGAAATCTCTTATTTTTAAAACACGATGTGGGCCAAACCAAACACGTTTGTGGGCTGAATTCAGTCTGTGGCCTACCATTTTGAGACCTTTGATTTATAGTCCTCACAAAACATGACATTTCTGTTCCAATTTGTAATCTCCAGGCGTGTTACTTCCAGAGTCAGTTCATTCTCTGCACTTCGCCCTCCTCCTTCACTCCTTTATTATTTATACGTATGTCTGACTCCCCCTCAAGATTATACATTCTTTTAACGACACAACTTACATTGTTTTCATTTTTGTATCTTCTCTGTGGTTTACTATAGTGCCTTAAAGAGGGTAATAGTCAGTAAGTGCTGGTTAAAGAAGTGTTTGTTAAATAATGCATTTTCAAAGCTAATCTAAGGAAACTTGAAGCTCTACTTGGGGTCCATTCACTGAAACACAGTTTGCCAAAAACCAACTATCTGAAAGCCAATTGGGGATTTCCACTTCCAGTAATAGTCAACTATAATTCAGTCCAACCCTCATACAAAATATATCCAGAAAAAATATAGAAAACATCTTGTTAGTAATATGAAATGCCTAAGAAAACTGGGAAGAATTGCCTTGAGAGAATAGAGTGATTGTAAGAGCAGAAATTGGTGAACTGGTAAATGTTTTATCCTGGGGGTATTTGCCATCCTTAGGAGGTGAAGAAAACAAGGAGATTAATAAATGGGGTAGGGCTGGAGAACAAGACAGAGACCCTGGAGACCTACCCACCTTTCTTCCCATGTCCTTGGCGCTCTCCTTCCCCAGCTTTGTATCTTTGACCTATTTGGGGAAACTGAGCAGTGCTTTGGGCTTTAGAATGGCAGGAATAGAAGCTCAGAAACATCTAAGCTCAGAAACTGCTGTGACATACCCTTTCCCTGGGACAGGCTGGTGGCCTAGGTTTCCTTATTCAGCTTCCTTTCCTTGTAACTCACTCTGATAAGGCTAGTCCTAAGTGAAATGACTCCTGAATCTATGGTTAATGCAGCTGTTCAAAGCTATGCAAAGTGTGCTGAGCATTATCTGAGGCAGTACCACCCTTATTCTCCAGGCCTGTCCTTTCCAGAGCCCCTGTTTAGACCCTCCTCCAGCGATTCTCCTCCTCACAGAGTGAAGACTCCACTGGGCCAAGGGCATATGCCCACCCAGTTCCAGTGCTGTACTCTCTTCCCAACCCCAGCCATGCTCAACATACTGGACAGTGGAATTCCCTGTCAAATAGTGCCAAGCCCCATTTCATAGGCCTCCACCTTCTTCAGGCTCATCCTCCAAAGGGTATAACTTACCACTGGGGTGTGCATCCTTTGGCCCCAGAGGGCGCTACAGGGCAGGCTGTGTGTGTTTGTGTGAAATGGGGGTAGAGAGGTGTGGACAAAGTTTGCCTATGAGGTTGAGTACCCACAAGACCCCACATGATGTTTGATTATAGGACCCAAAACAGGTTACTGAAAAGAAGCAAACTATCAGTCATCCTGGGAGCTTTATGAAGCTGGGGCTGTGTAAGGTTCTCTGTGTGGGATTTGTTACTATGATATACCAGAGTAGCCAAGTCATGATGACAAAACTGTACCTAACACCAGTCCTATTGTAAGGTTTGGATTACCAAATCAAAGAAAGTTCTTTTTCAGGTGCCAGATGTGTAATAGATGCTATAATAGGTGGCCTGGAAGACTTAATTAATGAGGCAGTTCAAATATATAGCCTGTCTGGATCTCTGCCTATAGCCCATTGTACCCACTGCCAGGCCCCTCCTGATGCCATGCTCCATCCACTAGCAGAGATTTCCATGCAGTACTTATTTCTAGGAATTTACTTAATCACATCTTAGATCCAGACACTTTAGTGACAAGAGTAATAATACGGACACCATGTTAGCAATGAGCTAAATATACTATTAATTATAATAAGTGATGTCTCAAAAAGTGAGATCTCAAAATATCCTTTGAGATGTCAACATGCTCCAGAAGAAGCTTTCTGCTTTTCACAAACAAGCACTTCTGTCTTTAATACTTGTTTTAGGGATGTTGGGACCTCATGACAAACACATTGTGTTGAGAGAAGTGAGCAAAATGTGTTTTTTAAAAATTTTCCCCTGAAAAATTATAAACTCTAACTGCATATTATATTCTATTTCAATTTGTATGTGGTAGATACACTGCATGGGTGAGATGCTTAATCTTGATGTCTTTTTAATGTTTTAATTCTTTCCATTTATACCAATTAATGTTTTAATTGGTATAAATTGAAAGAAGTTTAACGCACAAGTTTTTAAAATTAAGGTAAAATTCACATAACATATAATCAATGATGATAAAGTATACAGCTCAGTGTCATTTAGTGTAGTCACATGCAATGTCGGGCAACCACCATCTCTCTCTAGCTTCAAAACTTGTTCATCTCCCCAGAGAAACACCCTTATGCCCATTGAGTAATCACTGTCTCTTCCCTGGTCACCCAGTAACCACGAATCTACTTTCTGTCTCTCTGGATTTGCCAATTCTGGATATATCATATAAAAAAAGTCACACAATATGTGACTTTTTTTGGTCTGGCTTCTTTCACTTAATGTACTGTTTTTGAGGTTCATCCAACTTACAGCATTTATAAGTATTTCTTTCTTTTTTATGTCTGAATATTTTCAATTCATGCATATATCACACTTTATCCACTCACCCACTGAGGGGCTTTTGGGTTGTTTCTCCCTTTTGGTGGGACATTTGTGTCCAAGTTTCTGTGTGGACATGTCTTCATTTCTCTTGACTATATACCCAGGAGTAGTACTGCTGGATAATTGGTAACATGGTAATTCTATGTTTAACTTTTTGAGGGACTGCCAAAATATAACCAAGTTTTGTACATTCTGATTATCTCTGAATTTTAAATATGTTGCATCTTTTCTTGTAAATGGTTTTATAGAGATAGAATTCACCTATCCTAAAATTCACCCATTTAAAGTATTCTATTCAATGGTTTTAGTATACTCAAAGGGTTATGTAACTATCACTACAATTTAAAACTATTTTTATCATGTGAAAAAGAAACGTTGTACTCTTTAGCAGTTACCCCTCCCCCCGTTCCCTTTATCACCTCCAAGCCTAGGCAACCACTAATCCACTTTTTCTCTCAATAGATTTACTTTTTCTAGAAATTTTAGGTATTTCATATAAACATAATCAAACAATATGTGGTCTTTTGTGACTAGCATCTTTCAATTATCATAATTTTTTTTTTTTTTTTTTTTGAGACGGAGTCTCGCTCTGTCGCCCAGGCTGGAGTGCAGTGGCGCGATCTCGGCTTACTGCAAGCTCTGTCTCCCGGGTTCACGCCATTCTCCTGCCTCAGCCTCCCGAGTAGCTGGAACAACAGGCGCCCGCCACCACGCCCGGCTAATTTTTTTGTATTTTTAGTAGAGATGGGATTTCTCCATGTTAGCCAGGATGGTCTGGATCTCCTGACCTCGTGATCTGCCCGTCTCGACCTCCCAAAGTGCTGGGATTACAGGCCTGAGCCACCGCACCTGGCCTATCATAATGTTTCCAAAGTCCATTGATGCTGTAGAGGTATGAAGTACTTCATTCCTTTATATGGCTCAGTAATATTCTATTGTAAGAATATGCCTGCTATATCTTATTTATTCATTCATCAGTTAATGGCCATTTGAGTTATTTCCACTTACTGGTTATTGTAAATATTGCTGTTATAAACATATGTGTGCAAGTTTTTGCATAGACATATGTTTTTAATTCTTGTAGGTATATGCCTACAAGTGGAATTGCTGGGTTATATGGCAACTATGTTTAACCTTTGAGAAACTGCTCAAGGTGATGGTATATGGAGGTGGGAATTTTGGGGAGGTGATGAGGTGCTCTTGTAAAAAAGATCCCAGGGAGATTCCCCCACCTCTTCTACTATGTGAGGTTATAGTGAGAAAATGACTGTCTATGAAGAACGGTTCTTTATAAGCCACCCAGTCTATGATATTTTGTTATAGCAGACCAAGACACTAACACTTGTTATTATTCATCATTTTATTATGACCATCTTAGTGGTGTGAAGCAGTATTTCACTGCAGTTTTGATTTGCATTTCCTTGAGAGTTGTTGGTGTTGTGCATTTTTGTATGCATTTATTGGCCATTTGTGTATCTTCTTTGGTAGAAATGTATATTGAGATCCTTTGTCTGTTCTTTAATTGGGCTATTTTCTTTTTTACTATTGAGGTTTAAGAGTTCTTTGTATTTTTTAGATGCAAGTCTCTTATCTGTTAGACGATTCGCAAATTTCTTTCCCATTTTGTGGGGTGTCTTTTCTCATTCCCGATGGTGATCTTGGAAAAGTTTTTAATTTTGAGGAAGCCCAATTTATTTATTTTTTCTATTGTTGCTTGTGTTGTTGGTGATGTATCTGATGAGATTGGATACAATCAGTGTGGTATGGCCACAGATTATAGGTGTTGTGTCTAAGAAATTGTTGCCTAAACCAGAGCCATAAGTATTTATCCCTATGTTTTTTTCTAAGCACTTTTTATTTTTAGCTCTTACATTTAGATCTTTGATTATTTTTGGTTAATTTTTGTATATGTTTTGGAGTGAGATCCAATTTCATTCTTTAGCACATAGATATGCAGTTGTCCCTGCCATATTAAGTCTTTATATTATTTATATTATTTTGTCTAAAAATCTGAACATTTTCCCCACAAATAAATTTCTCTGCCATGTTTCCCCATTTCTGCCTGTGATATCATCATTTTTCCATAAAATGGAAACCTGGAGTTACTCTTTCCTTGAATCTTTCAGTCCTGAACTTCTCATTCTTTATCACTACTCCTTTCACAATTTTTTGTGTAATTTCAGTGTTCAGGCAGGTGATTATTTCAATCGCCTGGTGACAGTTTTTTGTTTAACTTTTTTGTTCCAAATGATTTTGTCCTACAGCTTGTCTCAGCCATTCCCCTTAAGGTCATATTCTAAATCAGTGGTACTTAATTAGAATTAGAATTAGCCCTTGAGTAGAATTATCCAAGGACCTTTAAAGTAATGCCAGTGACAGCCCCACTCCAGCCTAATTATATCAAAATCTTATGGCATATGGGATATATTTCTAATGTACCACCGGGGTCGAGAAACACTGCCCTAGACATTGCCATCACCAGTGACTTTAATCCTTTCCTTGTATCAAGCATTCTACTCTCCAGTTGCCACACCTGTTTTCCTGTCTCATTGCTTTGAGTGTCCTAACTCCAACAAATCTACTGGGATCTAGAATTCATTTCTCTGCGCATCTTTTCATTGTCCCTCACATCCCTGGTGTCTATGCTCCCCTTATGTGGTAGTTTGTTATATCAGTAGTTTCCAGGGAATCAGGCCTCCCTGCATTCATGTCTATCTGTAGTCTCCTCTTGAAATGGTATTAGCCACATTACTTGTTTTAACCGCTAACATTCAGTGGAAATGACAGTGTTCTATGAGAAGAAGCCCAACTACCCTGATGAAGAAATAATGTGAAAAGACCACAGAAAAAGACCACGTGGAGAAGCAGTGGCCAAAACATGTAGTAGATTCAGAGAAGGCAAATTACAGTGAGAATTCATGGTTCAGACAGTCCAGGTGATTCCAATGTGCAGCAAAAGTTGAGAACTACTGGTTACTATACGGATGAATCCTAAATATCTCTACTGTCCAGTGGTGCTTTCTGCAAAGCTCTATAAGGTTCTCGATGATGTACTCTCCGCCTTGTTATCCCTCTAACTTTATCCCTGCTTCCCCTTGCTTATTGTACTACTGCTAGGCTGACCTTGCTTTTCCTCAAACACACCCAATATGCACCCAGTTCTGAGCCTCAGCCTGTTTCCACTTTCTGCAGTGATATTTTTCCAGGTAGTCATATAATCCATGTCTCACTCCATCATCATTTTCTGGTCTTTGCTCAATGCAATGTAATAAGTGCTGCAATTGAGGTAATTTTGCTAGTCTTGTTGAAGTGTCAACTAGCGCAGATTTATTAGAATATGAGAAGATAAGAAAATAATAAAGAGTGTCACAAATGCCAGTTGGTGAGGATGTGGAAAAAGAGAAATTGTTATCTATTGCTAGTAGGTGTAAAAACTGGTACAACATTTTTGGAGTATAATTTGGCATTATCTAACAAAGTTGATGATGCATATATTCTTTTTTTAAATTTTAATTTTAATTTAAATTTTGAGTTCTGGGGTACATGTGCAGGATGTGCAGGTTTGTTACATAGGCAAACTTATGCCATGGTGATTTGCTGCACCTATCAACCCATCACCTAGGTATTAAGCCCAGCATGCATTAGCTATTTTTCCTAATTCTCTCCCTCCCCTGGCCCCACCCTCTGGCAGGCCCCAGTGTGTGTTGTTCGCCTCCCTGTGTCCATGTGTTCTCATTGTTCAGCTCCCACTTATAAGTGAGCACATACAGTGTTTGGTTTTCTGTTCCTGTGTGAGTTTGCTGAGGATAATGGCTTCCAGCTCCAGATGATGCATATATTCTATCAAGTAGGAACATAGCTGTGGTGGTTTTAAAATAAGTCTGGAAATTATGTGATAGGTGGGGCTTAATCCCCTCATCTTGAATAGGGACTAGACTTAGTGACTCACTTCTAATGAATGAAACATGGTGGAAATGACAGTGTATGACTTCCATGAATAGGTCATGAAAGGCATTATAACTTCTTTCTTACTTTCTCTCGGATCACTTGCTGTGTGGGAGAAGCCAGCTGCCGTGTCATAAGGACACTCAAGCAGACTTTTGGAGAGACCTAAGTGACAAGGAACTGAAGTCTCCTGACAACAGCTGGGGAGATACTAAGTCCTCTCACCAAGAGCCATGTGAGTGATCCATCTTGAAAGATCCTTCAACCCCAGTGAAGCCTTCAGATGACTATAGCCCCAGCTGACATCTTGACTGCAGCTTCATGATAGACCTCAAGGGCCACCATTCTCAAACTCCTGTTCCACAGAAACTGTGAAATCATTAAGTTTTGTTGTTTTAAGCTGCTATGTCTTGGGATAATTTGTTACACAGCAAAAATAACTAGAGAAACTCTCGCACATCTGTAAAAGTAGATGTGTGGAAGAATTCTTATAGCAGCATTGCTTGAAATGGGGGAAGGGGGAAGGAAACAGAGACAACTCAAAGGCCCATCAACTAGAGAATGGATACATTGTGGTATAGTCATACAATGGTATATTTACAGCAGTAAAAATGTTTAAACAGTTACAACTTAAACAGATCCCTCAAATATAATGATGAGAAAAAAAGGAGTACCTTTATATGAAGTTAAAAAAATATAAAGCTAAATAATGTATTGCTTATGAATATATATGCACGTGGCAAAATTAAATAAATGAGGGAAAATTAATAATCATATTCAAGATATGGTATATTTGTTATCTATTGCTTCTTAATCAATGGTCACCAAGATGAAGTGGCTTATAATAATAAACATTTATCTCATAGTTTTTGTAGGTCAGTTATTTGGGAGCAGATTACCTGGGTATTTCTGACTCTAGTTTTCTTATGAGATTTCATTTAAAATATTGGTTGGCACTACTGTCATCTGAAGGCCTGAATGGGGCAGAAGGATCCATTTCATCCACATACTTGGTAAATTGGTGCTGGCTATTAATAGGAGGCTTCGGTTCTTCCCCACATGGGCTTCTTCTTAGGCTGGTTGAAAGTCTTCATGACATGGCATCTTGCTTTTCTTAGAGAAAGCAATCTAGGGGGAAGCAAAATATACTCATCCTCTCTCAAGACCTCCCCAGATCTCATCACATTGCAGCATCAGTTTGGAATGTATCACGTTCAGGACTCCTGAGTAGTCCTAGTTAACCAGCTTCCTCAGGAGCAACTTCCTTTTGGTCCAATTTGCACCAAAGATGAGTCTTAGAAACTGTCTGATAGTCAAGCAGTTTATTCATTCTGGCATCATTCTTACAAGATGGATAGCAAGAGCAGACTATAGCATGGGCCAGATAGTCGGGAGTCAGATGGCCACCTGACCAGGAGGGTCTTCCTCTGAAGACCATTCTCAGAGTTTGGGAGATTCTTCCCCATTTCTCATAGTTGTATTCAATCTGGGTTGGTTGCCAGGTCTTTTTTTTTTTTTTTGAGACAGGGCCTCCAGCCCAGGCTGGAGTGCAGTGGTGAGATCATATAGCTGCAGCCTCAAACTCCTGGGCTCAAGTAATCCTCCCACCTCAGCTTCTTGAGTAACTAGAACTACAGACACAAATCACCATGCCCAATTAATTAAAAAAATTTTTTTGTACAGACGGGATCTTGCTATATTGCTTAGGTTCATCTTGAACTCCTGCTCTCAAGGAATCTTCCTGTGTCGGCTTCCCAAAGTGCTGAGATTATAGGCATAAGCCACCACGCCCAGCCTCAGATGTTTCTTTCAAAAAGAGAGTTTAAGCTATTCTTGTAATAGTAAGCAATGTTTTAAGGTTTATGAGTTGCATTGTGCTGAGGTGATTTTGTCTCCTGGAAATCCCTGGGCCAGGGTTAGAAAATCCCCAGGCCAGGCTGCCTCATGCTGCTAAGTGACACATAGTGTTGGCTCTCTGAGATGTTTGTGTGGGTCTTATGGCTATCATAGGCACACTAGGTCTCTCACTATATCACAGACCTTATGGCTATCATAGGGACACTATATACTATATCTCTCAAAGTATACAACAAAATCAAAGATCTGATCATTTGGCTCAGATCCAGGTGGGAATGAAGCTCTTCAGATGTGGTTCCTTGATTAGGAACCTCAAGTTCCTCTCCTCAAATATAGTTACTCTTCGTATGAGGACCTGTGAACTAAAAAGACAAGGTATGTGCCCCACATCTACCAAGCATGCAATAGTGAGACTGACGTAAGATAAATGCTATAGTAATTCCTGTTTAAAAGTGGGAGAAAAAAGACCACAGGAATAACCAATCCACAGAACTTCTGAAATTCAGCTAGAATTTGGAATGTTTGAGGTTCTTTGATTAAGACTGAGGCCTCTTCCATTCCAGGAATGATTTCTTTTGTGGCTCTTGGCTCTGCATTCTGGCTCTTTTTTCCTGCTTTTAAGTTATTTTTCCTTTCTGTAAAAGGTAGCTTGTGTTTGCAGCTCTACAATTTTTTCAGCCTGCTTCCTGCCTATAGAGGTTTTGGGGTCCAAAGGCCTCTTTTCCTCTTTTACTGTTTCTGTTCATTTCAGTCTAAGTAGATGTTTTTGAAATTATTATTTTCTTTAAATATTTGTTGGTCTCCTATAAATATTATTGGCATTGACTGTACCTTGAGTTTCTGCTGAGCCTACTGAGGAACAGCACCCTTAAGCTTTTAAGAAGCTCCATTGTTTGATGAAGCGTTCTGAGGTATTTCTAAGGTCTTAAAATATTTTTATAACCATACTCTCAGCTTTTCTGTGAGTCTCTTGATTCAACTTTGTTCAACAGTCATTTATTAATATTAGTGTCAGTTATCATCTGGAGAGGCTGAGAATTTTTAATCCCAACAATTCCTGGCTTCTTTTGATTTAATTGTCATTAGCTTATCTATCTTCTTTTATATTTTACCATACACAACCAGAAGAAACCTGTTGGCATCTTCAAAAGTCTAAATGGAATCTACTCAGGTAGGTCACATAATTCATTAAGTACATTTTTTATACTCTTTATGTTATTGCAGGCAACAATGTTGTAGCATCTTCCTCTATATAGTACAAATCTCTTTCATTATAGTTTTCAATGACACTTCTTCACTATCCTTTAAGCTGCCATCTGAAGTCTCCTCTAAGGAAATTAGGCATTGATATGGTGTGGCTCTGCATCCCTACCCAAATCTCATCTCGAATTGTAATTCCTACATATTAGGGAGCGATCTGATGGGAGGTGATTAGATCATGGGGGTGGTTTCCCTCATGCTGTTCTTATGATAATGAGTGAATTGTCATGAGATCTGACGGTTTAAAAGTGTGGCATTTCCTCCCCCCTCTCTTTCTCCTGCCACCATGTAAGATGTGCCTTGCCTTCCCCTTTGCCTTCTGCCATAATTGTAAGCTTCCTGAGGCCTCCTAAGCCACACAGAACTGTGAGTCAATTAAATCTCTTTTCTTTATAAATTACCCAGTTTCAGGTAGTTCTTTGTAGCAGTGTGAAAACTGACTAATACAGAAAACTGGTACCAAGAGTGGGGTACAGCTATAAAGATAACCTGAAAATGTGGAAGTGACTTTGGAACTGGGTAAGAGGCAGAGGTTGGAACAGTTTAGAGGGCTCAGAAAAAGAAAGATGTGGGAAAGTTTGTGACTTCCTAGAGGCTTGAATGATTTTGTCCAAAATGCTGATAGTGATATGGAAATGAAGTTCAGGGTGAGGTAGTCTCAGGTGGAGATGAGGAACTTATTGGGAACTAGAACAAAGGTCAGACTTGCTATGCTTTAGCAAAGAGACTGGCAGCATTTGGCCCCTGCCCTAGAGATCTGTGGAGCTATGAACTTGAGAGAGATAATTTAGGGTATCTGGCAGAATAAATCTCTAAGCAGCAAAGCATTCAAGAGTTGACCTGGCTTTCTCTGAAAGTGTACAGTCATATGCATTCACAAAGAGATGATCTGAAACTGGAACTTATGTTTAAAAGGGAAGCAGAACATTAAAGTTTGGAAAATTTGCAGCCTGTCCATGTGGTAGAAAGAAAACCCCATTTTCTGGGGAGAAATTCAAGCTGGCTGCATAAATTTGCATAAGTAACAAGGAGCCAAATGTGAATAGCCAAGAAAATGGGAAAAATGTCTCCAGGACATTTCAGAGATCTTCACAGCAGCCCCTCCCATCACAGGCCTGGGGGCCTAGGGAGGAAAAAATGGTTTCATGGACCAGGTCAAAGGCCCTGCTGCTCTGTGCAGCCTCAGGACATGGCACCCTATATCCCAGCCACTCCACCTCCAGCCATGGCTAAAAGAGGCCAAAGTACAGCTCAGGGAATTGCTTCAGAGGGTGCAAGCCCCAAGCCTTGGTGGCTTCCATATGGTGTTGGGCCTACAGGTGCACAGAAGACAGGAGTTGAGCTTTGTGAGCCTCTGCCTAGATTTCAGAGGATGTATGGAAATGCCTGGATGTCCAGGCAGAAGTCTGCTGCAGGGGCAGAGCCCTCATGGAGAACCTTTACTAGGGCAATGCAGAGGGGAAATGTGGGGTTGAAGCCCCCACACAGAGTTCCCACTGGGGCACTGCCTAGAGGAGCTGTGAGAATCCTCCAGACCCCAGACTGGTAGATCCATCAACAGCTTGCACTGCACATCTGGAAAAGCTGCAGGAACTAAATGCCAGCCTGTGAAAGCAGCCAAGGGAGCTGTATCCTGCAGAGCCACAAGGGCAGAGCTGCCTAAGGCCTTGTGAGCCCACTTCTTGCATCAGCATGCCCTGGTTTTGAGACATAGAGTAAAAGAAGACTATTTTGGCACTTTAAGATTTAATGACAGCCCTGTTGGGTTTTGGACTTGCATGTGGCCTATAGCCCCTTTGTTTTGGCCAATTCCTCCCATTTGGAATGGAAGCATTTACCCAATGCCTGTATCCCCACTGTATCTTGTAAGTAACTAACTTTTTATTTTATGGGCTCATAGGTGAAAGGGACTTGTCTCAGATGAGTCTTTGGACTTGGACTTTTAGGCTAATGCTGGAATGAGTTAAGACACTGGGGGACTGTTGGGAAGGCATGATTGTGTTTTGAAATGTGAGAAGGACATAAAATTTGGGAGTGTCCAGGGGTGGTATTGTGTCCGGAATTGGTTCCTTCTGGTGGGTTCATGGTCTCGCCTGACTTCAGGAGTGAAGACGCAGACCTTTGCAGTGAGTGTTACAGCTCTTAAAGGTGGTGCGTCCAGAGTTGTTTGTTCCTTCCGGTGGGTTCGTGGTCTCTCTGACTTCAGGAGTGAAGCCAGAGACCTTCACAGTAAGTGTTATAGCTCATAAAGGTAGTGTGGACCCAAAGACTGAGCAGCAGCAAGTTTTATTGTGAAGAGCAAAAGAACAAAGTCCACAGCATGGAAGGGGACCTGAGCGGGTTGCTGCTGCTGGCTTGGGTGGCCAGCCTTTATTCCCTTATTTGGCCCTGCCCACGTCCTGCTGGTCCATTTTAAAAAAATTATTATTATTATACTTTAAGTTCTAGGGTACATGTGCACAACATGCAGGTTTGTTACATATGTATACATGTGCCATGTTGGTGTGCTGCACCCATTAACTCGTCATTTACATTAGGTATAGCTCCTAATGCTATCCCTCCCCTCTCCCGCCACCCCACAACAGGCCCCGGTGCGTGATGTTCCCCATCCTGTGTCCAAGTGCTCTCATTGTTCAATTCCTACCTATGAGTGAGAACATGCAGTGTTTGGTTTTTTGTCCTTGCGATAGTTTGCTCAGAATGATGGTTTCCAGCTTCATCCATGTCCCTACAAAGGACATGAACTCATCCTTTTTTATGGCTGCATAGTATTCCATGCTGTATATGTGCCACATTTTCTTAATCCAGTCTATCACTGATGGACATTTGGGTTGGTTCCAAGTCTTTGCTATTGTGAATAGTGCCACAATAAACATATGTGTGCATGTGTCTTTACAGCACCTGCTGGTCCATTTTACAGAGCACTGATTGGTCCATTTTAAAGAGTGCTCATTGGTGCATTTACAAACCTTTAGCTAGACACAGAGCACTGATTGGTGTGTTTACAATCCTTTAGCTAGACAGAAAAGTTCTCCAAGTCCCCACCCTACCCAGAAGCCCAGCTGGCTTCACCTCTCAGTGTGATATGGTTTGGCTCTGTGTTCCCACTCAAATCTCATCTTGAACTGTAATCCCCACATATTAGGGAGGTACCTGGTGGGAGGTGACTGAATCATGGCAGCGGTTTTCCCCATGCTGTTCTCATGATAGTAAGAGAGTTCTCATGAGATCTGATAGTTTTAAGAAGTGTTTTAAGAAGATAGTTTTAAGAAAGAGGAAGTGTGGCACTTCTTCTTTCTCTCTCCTCTGCTGCTATGTAAGATGTGCCTTTCTTCCCCTTTGCCTTCTTGTCAATTAAACCTCTTTTCTTTATAAGTTACCCAGTCTCAGGTAGTTCTTTATAGCACTTTTAAAGTGGACTAATACAGGCATCTACTAACACAGTTTTCTAGGCTTTCAGACTTTTTCTATTACTCTCTTCAAGGTCCTTCCATAAAGGGTTTACATATGTTCAGTTTTATAGATAGTGACAGTTTTCTGAAGTGCTTGTGCAAATTTACATTACAACCAGCAGTGTGTGAGTTCCAGTTGCTCCATATTCTTGTTTAAATTTGTTATTATTTCTTTCATTTTAGCCATTGTGGTAGGTGAACAGTGGTATCATATGGTGTTTCAATGTGCATTTTTTCTTATTACTTATAGGGTTGAGCACATTTAAGAACGTTTATTGTCCAAACAACCCCATTAAAAAGTGGGCAAAGGACATGAACAGGCACTTTTCAAAAGAAGACATCTATGTGACCAACAATCATATGAAAATAATCTCAACATCACTTATCATTACAGAAATGCAAATCAAAACCACAATGAGATACCATCTCACACCAGTCAGAATGGCTATTATTAAAAAGTCAAAAAATAACAGATGCTGATGTTGCAGCTTCTTTAGTCCCATAGTTCAGCGAGCAGAAGGGAGAGACACCCAGTGGCTTCTTCATTCCTGTAGTTCAGTGAGGAGAAGGGAGTGTTACAGCTCTTTCACTCCTGCAGTTTGGCGAGTTCCAGGTTCTTGTCTCATGACCAAGTGGAATTAGGTACACAGACACTGGACAGTGAACAAGACAGAGTAGAATTTTATTGAGCAACAGAAAGAAAGCTCTCAGCAGCAAAGAGAACCTGAAAGTGGGTTGCCATCTGTAAGGCTGAGTCCAGGGTTTTTATGGGGTTAGAATGGGGGAATATGTGCTTATTGCTTATGGGTGGGCTTGAAAAAGGCACCATTCGATTTGTTAAAAGGCATCATTCAGAAAGAACTCATCGAGAGAGAGTGGGTAAGATGGGGATGGAAGTTCTCACTCAGGTCCATGGATTCTATCCAAAACTGGTAGCTTGGTTTTTAGGCATTAGACTGTCCTTGGCTTGAAGGTCAAGTTTCACCAGGGACCTGTCCCTATCTGCCTAGGAATTTGTCTGTCTCCTGTCCCTATCAATTCCCCCTCTGAAGAGGTATATCTAGCTGCCATTAGGATAGGGATAATGACTACTCTACCTGCTTCATGCTGACAGGGGGCATTGTTTTGGGAAAATGGCAGTCGGATCTCTCTCAGAGGCCTATTTAAGGGTCCCTGGTAAAAAGAAGGCCATCATTCAAGGCTCCATTTGCATGACCATTTACCATTCGATGGCCTCTAGGTGAGAAGAAACAAATTTTACAAGAAGGTTAAGTATTCATGGACCAATTATGAGATTATACAAAGAGGAGCTAAAAGGGAAAAATCCATGCCAATGCGAGAGATAACAGAAACAAGAAGTAAAATAGACTAGTCATTCTGAAAACAATGTTGTGACCAGAGCTGTTTCACCCTTGTGAAATAAATAAAATCTTGTATAGGGGAGGGCAGTTACATTTTAGAAGAGATAGCAGTTTAGGAGAGTAGATAATCTCATGGGTGTTCAGAATTAAGGGATCCTTGGCAAATATGCCTTATGGTGAGGAAAAGAACAAAGGCAAGAAGAACAAGTATAAGCAAGACTATAAAGAGGATATCCATGGAAGGTTAATTATTGATACTTATCTTTTCTGATCATCAGCTCAAGGTCTCTCTTCACATTGGTACTTCGGGTGCTCTTCTGGGTCAACAGAAGTCATTCTGTCAGTTCTCCAGGCCTTTACTTGAGTATATGAATCCAATAATCTATTCCAGTGACCTTTACTGCTGAAAGAGTAGAAAGAAGTGCAGTCTAAGTTCCCGCCCAATCCAGGCCTAGAGAGGGAAAAAGAGAAGGAAGAGCCTTTACCAGTACTAGGTCCCCTGGGTTGAATAAAGTGGGCCCCTAGTTCACGGGATTGGGCCTCCAATAGTTGTTTCAGTTCCTGTTGGAAATGGGCCAAAGAAGTTACATGTTTAATCAAATAAGAAGTTTCTTGGTCTAGCAATAAATAATTGGTGAGAAAATGCTGTCCATATATCATTTTGAAGGGACTTAACCTCAGTTTCAAAGGGGTGTTTCTAACACATAGTAGGGCAATAGGAAGAAGAGTAATCCAGGGGAGATGAGTCTCCTGAGACAGTTTTCTGAGGTGCCTTTTGATAATATCATTTGTCTTTTCTACCTTTCCCAAGGATTGTGGTCTCTAAGCACTATGAAGATGGTATTGTATGCCTAGTGCCTCTGAGACCCCCTGGGTGATAGCTGCCTTGAACGAGGGGCCATTATCACTCTGGAGGTACTTAGGGCATCCAAAGTGAGGAACTGTCTCATCAACTGGTACTTTTATTACCTCATTGGGTTTCTCTGTTCAACATGGAAATGCTTCTACCCAGTTAGTGAAGGTATCTACCCAAACCTGGAGGTACTGGATGCCCCTTATCTTTGGCATATGGGTGAAATCTATATGCTAGTCTTTTCCTGGGTGGCCTCCCATTCTTTGGGTTCTTGCTGAGAGAGGCCATCAATTGAGAGGATTATTTTTAAGGCAAGTCTCACAAGCATTAATGAGCTGTTTGATCATTTTAGCAGATTTTTTACCTGAGAACAACCTTTGGGCCAATTAATAGGTTTTATCCTTTCCCAGGTGGAAGGCTTGGTGAAGAATTTTAAGAACTTTCCATTGGCTAGAAGCTGGTAGATGAAGTTTGCCATCCTCTTATTGTAGCCACTCTAAGGGCTAAAAGGTGTATCCCCAAGAGGTGGCCCATTCTGTTTCTGCAGGAGAATATTGAGTTTTTTATTTCTGTTACAGAGCCCTCCTAGATCAGAGGGGCTTCAAGTGGATCAGAAATCTGGGACCCTCTCATTGCTGATTTAGCTGCTTGGTCTGCCAGTTTATTTCCCTCAGCTCTTTCATCCATCCCCTATGGTGGCCTTTACAATGTATTACTGCCACTTCCCATGAAAGGAAAACTGAGGATAATAGTCTATTAATTTATTGATAGTATTTAATGGCAAACCCATTAGCTGTGAGAAAGTCTCTCTTTCCAGATAGTGGGATGAGCATGAAGGACTAGAAAAGCATGCTTATAATCAGTATAAATGCCAACTGCTTTCCTTCTGCTTAATTCAAGCACCCTCAAGCTCAGCTGTTGAGAAATTGTGCCCGAAGAGAGGTGCACTCTCAATAGTGTCATTCAAGGTGACTGCTGCATACCCTGCTTCATGGATCCCTTGTTCTACAAAAGAACTTCCATCCATAAAGAGAGTCCAGTCTGGGTTCTCTAAGGAGATTTCCTTGCGGGCCTCTCTGGCTGCATAGGTTTGCACTGCTATCTGTTTGCAGTCATGTTCAGTCTCCTCAGGTTCCTCTGGGAGGAAGGTGGCTGGTTTTAGACAGGGACAGGTTCTTTTTTTTTTTTTGACGGAGTCTCGCTCTGTCGCCCAGGCTGGAGTGCAGTAGTGCTGTCTCGGCTGACTGCAAGCTCCGCCTCCCGGGTTCACGCCATTCTCCTGCCTCAGCCTCTCAAGTCACTGGGACTATAGGCGCCCGCCATCACGCCTGGCTAATTTTTTGTATTTTTAGTAGAGACGTGGTTTCACGTGTTAGCCAAGACAGGTTCTTTTTTTTCTTTTTTTATTTTTTTGAGACGGAGTCTCGCTCTCTCTCCCAGTCTAGAGTGCAGTGGGGCGATCTTGGCTCACTGCAAGCTCCGCCTCCTGGGTTCAAGCCATTCTCCTGCCTCAGCCTCCCAAGTAGCTGGGACTACAGGCGCCCGCCACAACGCCTGGCTAATTTTTTGTATTGTTTTTAGTAGAGAAGGGGTTTCACTGTGTTATCCAGGATGGTCTCAGTCTCCTGACCTTGCGATCTGCCCGCCTCAGTCTCCCAAAGTGCTGGGATTACAGGCGTGAGCACCGCGCCTGGCCCCAAGACGGGTCCTTAACTGAACTGTAGATCCCTCCAATAGCAGAGCCTGATATTTGAGGAGGCAGTTGTCTGTTAGCTAGAGACTCCCCTTAGAAGACAGCAGTCCTGCCACATTATGTTATTATTCTCCATGGTTAACTTAGTAGCCTCTGGCACTAGCAAAGCTGCCACTGCAACTGCCTGGAAGGCAGGCTAGCCATCCTTTAGCTACCAAATCAAGCTCCTTGCTTAGGTAGCCTACAGGCTGCTGGGCTGGACCTCAGGCCTGGGTTAGAACTCCCAAGGCCATTTCCTTCCTTTTTGATACATAAAGATTGAACAACTTCCCTATGGGAAGACTAAGGGCTGGTGCCCCAAGCAAGGCTTATTTCAATTGGTCAAAGGCCCTTCTGGCCTCTGGTTCCCAAATTCCGGAGTGATCTTGGCTGCCTGAGTTTATTAGGTGATACAAGGGATGAGCTATCTCATTGTACCCAGGTATCCATAATCTGCAGAATCCTGTCATGCCCAAGAATCCCCTCAGTTGTTTGAGGGTTTGGGGGAAGGGAAAGGAGGAGACAGGGTTAATCCTTTCTTCACCCAGTGCCCTGGTCCCCTCTGACAAGACTAGACCTAAGCACTTCACTGAAGTCTGACAGAGCTGAGCCTTAGATTTTGAGACCTCATATCCTCTGTTAGCTAGAAAATTAAGAAGAGGCTTAGTGTCTTCCTGAGAGATTTCCTCAGTTGGGGCACAAAGGAGAATGTCATCTACATTTTGTAAAACTTTAACCCAAGTATGAAGGAACCCAGAGAGATCTTTTGAGAATGCCTGTCCAAACAGATGAGGACTACCCCAGAATCCTCGGAGTAGCACCATCCAGGTTAACTGGGTGGTCTAGTTGGAGAGACCCTTGAATGCAAACAAATATTGGGAGTCAGGATGTAGCAATTTGCAAAAAAATGTGTCCTTTAGGTGCAGGACTGTGAACCATTTAGTTTCCTCAGGTATTTGAGTTATGAAGGTATAGGGATTGGGAAACACTGGATGAATTGGAACTACAGCCTCATGAATGAGGCAGAAGTCCTGGATCAGTCTCCATTCCCCATTGTGTTTCTGTACTCCCAATATTGGGGCACTAGAAGGGCTGTTGCAGGGTTTGAGGAGGGCCTGCATCCTGAAGTTATCAATGATGGCTTCTAGCCCTTTCCTAGCTTCTAGTTTTAGGGGATTTTTTTTCTGGTTAGGGAAGGAGGTGGGATCCTTAAGGTGGATCCAGATCAGTATGGTGGTTGTGGCTCAGCCAATTTTCCCTTGAATTGCCCAAATTTCTGGATTGATATCAGTCTCCACCAGGGGGAGGCAAGGAGTGTGTCCTGGAGCCATAAGGATGGTGGTTCACATATAAGCTAAACTATCCCTGCCTCCCAGAGGAATTGGGCTTTCGGGCATGATTAAAAAGACATGAGTAAAAACGAGGTCTCCCCAACTACAACTAAGGGGTTGGAAAAATATCAGGTTAAAAGCTTTCCTGAGACACCCTTCATGGTCATGCTAAGGGAAGAAGGGAGGCCTGGATTGGAGAGGAGAATAGAAATGGCTGCTCTGCTATCCAGGAAGAAGTTCACCTTCCTCCCTTTGACCTCCAGAATCATTCAGGGCTCCTGGATGGTAATGGCAGTCTGAGCTGTCAGAGCCAGGGACAGGAGCCCTGGGGCCCATCAATCCTGTTAGACACTTGTGAGACTGGCTTTGGACCCAGTGACCTGCATCTCTGGGGACAGTCCACCCTCCAGTGGTCCCCACCACAGATTGGACAGGGTCGAGCTGGCTTCCTCATGCTGCCTGGGCAGTCGTTTTTAACATTCCCTGGTTTGCCACATTTGTCGCAGTTAACAGGTGCATCTTTGGGATTCTGGGGTTTGTAAGCCTGCAGGGTGGCCAATAGATTTTTCTGTCTTTTTCTTGCATATCCTCTCCCTTTCTTGGCACTGTATGAGATACAAAGCTCATCCACAAACTTCTCTGCTGCTTGCAGGGCTGTTTGCTTCTCAGTGGTAGTCAAAGTTTGATTCAAAAGTAACATAACATCCTTCCAGGAGAGTTCAAATACTTGGTTTAAATTCTGGAAAGCCTCTGTATACCCTTCAGGGTCATCTGAAAACTTACCAAGATCCCCCCTAATTTGTCTTAAGTCCTGTAGAAAAAAGACATGAGTAAACACGTCTATACCTTAATGGGGCCATATTCACAAGGCATCTCTTGTAGGGCCATGAGTGAGGCTGGGACCTGCCTGAAACGAGGATTCCTAGGAGAGGACAAGCTTGAGAGAGAACCTGGATAGGGAGGACATGATGGACCAGGAGTAGGACTGGAGGGGTCTGATCCCCCTGCTGGAGGCACCTCTGGGGTTTACTTCCCTGGAATTTACTTCCCTGGGGTTTACTTCCCTGGGACTGTCCTTTGCAGCCTCTCCTGAGATGACTGCTAGGCAGGCTGGATCTATCCTACAATATCAGCAAAGGTCCAGATTATCCTGCAAGGCAAAGAAAACCTGCATGTATGAGACCTCAGACCATTTGCCTCCATGTTTACAGAAACGGTCCAGCTGCAGGTTAGCATTAAAGTTGATACTTCCCTCCAGAGGCCAGGCTTCTCCATCCTGCTGCTTATAACCTGGCCAAGCCCTTGTGCAAAGGAATATACAGCATTTTCTCTTCAGAATCTGCAGGTCAAAGGATTCCCAGTGATTCAGGATGCACTCTAGAGGAGTGCAGGCTGAAAATAGTTTGTTACCCATCTGAAAAGAGAGAGGGGAGAAAAGGTATCCTTTAGACTCTTCTCTATCCTCTTGAATTTGAGTCACCCCCTGAATCTCAGCACCTAGTACTGGTGCCATGGATGGGCTGGTGGTGTCTACATCATGGATATGAACATCACCTCCACCCATGAAGTGGGAAGGCCTAATTGGCAGGGATAGTCATTCTTACCTGTGCTGTGCCCTAGCCTTTTGCTGTTGACTGCCTCTTGGTCCCTCAAATCTAGTTTTCTTTATAGGGCTCCAAATCGAAGCTTGGAAAATACAATGGAGTAATACTAAGGTGAAGGTGTGGAACCAGATCCTCCTCAAACAAAGGAAAGAAAGGGAATCCTGGGAATTGGGGACCTGGCCTAATAAGATGCCTCCCAAAAGGAAAACATTAATCCCTTGCATGGAAAAGCTCCTTGTATTCGCAGGATTATGTTGACTCTGACAGGGTGGAAAAAAGCAATTTAAATGCAGAGGAGGGAAGGTGGCTGGGGGAAATAGCCTCTTGTTCTGTGGTAATGAGTTTCTTCAACAGGGGAAAGAAAACTCTCTTAATTGTTACATCCCTCTATTTCTAAGAATAGACAGAAGCAACATTGTTCTGGATTACACTCCTGATGACTAAGCCAAGTCCTCATTCTATCCAGTAATAGTATCTCTTTTCGTTGCAAAAACACCGGTAACATTGTCTATAAATAGGGGATAGCAGTCAGGACACTCTTGAAAGAAAGAAAATTAGATAGGAAGGACTGAAAGCCTTGGCCTGGCACCTGAATGGGCTGTGGGGGATTGGAGCTGGTCCAGGAGTCTTCAGGTAACACCAAAGTGTGCCTTGGCCAGATACCTTCAGTTGTTCAGGACTTTATTCCAACCTACGTAATGGCTAGACTTCCAGGAAAGGAAACTGGATTGGAACAAGGCCAACATTCCCAACACCCAAGGATGAAGGGGGACTGACAATGTCCTCCCGAGCAAGTCTGTCCTCTGAGTCTTGTAGATTGGCAGTTGGTCTATTCACCCTTAACTGTCTAACAGAGACTTGGTGTTTTATCTGTTTTCGAAAAAAAAGTGAGGATGAGAGTCCTCAGAAATGAAAGTAAAGGGTCACAGGTCTGCTCTTACTCACCCTTCTGAAGACCTGGACGAGCCTCCAGAAATGTTGCAGCTTCTTTACTCCCATAGTTCGGTGAGTGAGAGGGAGTGGCTCCCAGTGGCTTCTTCACTCCTGTAGTTTGGCGAGAGGGAGAGAGTGGCACCAATCAACTTCTTTACTCCCGTAGTTCAGCGAGTGGGAGGGAGCGTTACTGCTCTTTCACTCCTGCAGTTTGGTGAGTTCTGAGTTCTTGTCTAATGACCAAGAGGAGTGAGGTACATGGACATTGGAGAGTGAGTAAGGCAGAGTTGAATTTTATTGAGTGACAGAAAGAAAGCCCTCAGCAAGAGGGGACCCAAAAGTAGACTGCCATCAGTGAGGCTGAGTCCAGGGTTTTTATGGGCTTAGAATAGGGGAACGTGTGCTGATTGGTTTATGGGTGGGCTTGGAAAAGACACCATTCAATTGGTTAAAAGGCATCATTCAGAAAGAACCTATTGAGAGACAGTGGATAAGGTGGGGATGGAAGTTCTCACTCAGATCTGTGGCTTCTATCCTGAATTAGTAGCTCAGTTTTCAGGCTTTAGACTGTCTTTGGCTTGAAGGTTGAGTTTCACCAAGGACCCATCCTGTCTGCCTAGAAATTTGTCTATCTCCTGTGGCTATCACAGCCAAGGTTGTGGAGAAAAAGGAACATTAATACACTGTTGTTGGGAGTGTAAATTAGTTCAACCATTGTGGGAGACAGTGTGGTGATTCCTCAAACACCTAAAGACAGAAATACCATTTGACCGAGTAATCCCATTACTGGGTATATAACTACAGAAATATATATTGTTCTATTATAAAAAAATTCATGTGTATGTTAATTGCAGCACTATTCACAATAGCAAAGACATGGAATCAACTTAAATGCCCATCAATGATAGACTGGATAAAGAAAACATGATACAAATACACCATGGAATACTATTCAGCCACAAAAAAGAATGAGATCATGTCCTTTGCAGGGACATGGATGGAGTTGGATGCCTAACCTTAGTAAACTAATATGGGAACAAAAAATCAAATGCTGCCTGTTCTCACTCATAACTGGGAGCTAAATAATGAGAGTATAGGACATATAGCGTGGAACAACACACATTGAGGCCTACTAGAGGGTGGAGGGTGGGATGGAGGAGAGGATTTGGAAAAATACTAATGGACATTAGGCTTAATACCTGGGTGATGAGATAATCTTTACAATAAACTCCTGTGACATAGTTTACCTATGTAACAAACCTGCACATGTACCCCTGAACTTAAAATAAAAGTTAAAAATGTTTATTGGCTGTTTTTTATTTTTCACTTATAAAAGTGCTTATTTAAGCTTTTGCTAATTTTTTTTATTAGGTTGTCTGATGCTTTTTCGCATTGATTTGCAAGAATTCTTATACATTCTAGATAATAGTCTTTTCTCATTTCTATATTTTGCAAATATCTTTTCTCATTCTTTGTCTTGTATTTCAATCATTTTAAGTTTTTTTAATAAACAGAAGATCTTGATTTAATATATTCCAATTTATCAATCATTTCCTCTGTGGCTAGCTCTTTACGTATATTATTTAGAAAACCCTGCCTCAATCCAAGGTCATGATTACATTCTCCTTTATTATCTTTTAAATGCTTTATGCAAGGGATCTTCAAAAAGTTCACGGAATAATGGAATTAAAAGGTAAAAATAAAAAATATAAACTTTATTTCTCAAATTAAGCTCCATCAAGTTCTAGACACTTTTGTCATCAATCATCCAGACCTTTCTTTAGTGCATTCCTAAAGAACTGAGGGTCTTGGGAATTTAACCATGTCAATGCAGTCTTTTTTAACATTATTACCTAAAGAAAAATGAGTGTCCCTTAAAGATTTTTTAAAGATTAGGAAACAAAGAGAAGTCAGAAGGAGACAAATCAGGACTGTAGAAACTCTTCCCAATTTGCCCTTGTTAAATGAGAAAAGAATAAACGGGAGCATTGCCATGGTGCAGAACTCTCTGGTGAAGCTTTCCTGGGCATCTTTCTGCTAAAGCTTTGGCTAAGTTTCTCAAAACATTCTCATAATAAGCAGATATTATAATTCTTTGGCCCTTCAGAAAGTCAACAAGCAAAATGCCTTGAGCATCCCTAAAAATTGTTGCCATGACCTTTGCTTTTGACTGGGCTGCTTTTGCTTTGACTGGACCACGTCCACCTCTTGGTAGCCATTGCTTTGATTGTGCTTTGTCTTCAGGAGCATACCGGTAAAGCCATGTTTCATCTCCTGTTACAGTTCTTCAAAGAAATGCTTCAGGATCTTGATCCCACTTGTTTAACATTTTCATTGAAAGCTTTGCTACTGTTGGCAGCTAATCTGGGTGCAGTGGTTTTGGCACTCACTGAGTGGAAAATTTTCTCAACTTTAATTTTACCGTCAGATTGTGTAAGCCAAATCAATCGCAATGTCTATGATGTTGGCTATTGTCTCTGTTCTTAATTGTTGGTCCTTTTCAATTAGGGGATGAACACCATTAATTTTTTTCTCATGTCAATGAAAAGAGTCAAACTCTGTAAAATATAAGAAGAGTTTGATTCTGCACCAAATATGAGCGACTAATAGCCTGGGGCACATTCCCAAGGAGTCCTAAGAACATGTGCCTGAGATGATCAGGCTACAGCTTAGATTTATACACTTTAGGGAGACGTAAGACATCAATCAATACGTGTAAGATGTACATTGGTTTGGTCTGAAAAGGTGGGACAACTCAAAGCAGGGGCTTCCAGGTCATAGGTGAATTCAATGATTTTCTGACTGCCAATTGGTTGAAAGAGTTAAATTACTGTCTAAAGACCTAGAATCAATAGAAAGGAATGCCTGGGCTAAGATAAGGGGTTGTGATGACCAAGGTTTCCATTATGCAGATGAAGCCTCCAGGCAGTAGGCTTCAGAGAGAACAGGTTGCAAATGTTTCTTTCCAGACTTAAAAAAGTTCCAAACTCCCAGTTGATTCTCTCCTGGATCAGGAAAAATGCCTGAAAAGGGAAGGGGATTCTCTACACAAAATGTAGATTTGCCCCACAAGAGACAACTTTGCAGGGCTGTTTCAAGAAATGGCAAAGAAACATATTTTGGGGTAAAATACTTTGGTTTCTAACAGGCCTTGCTATCTGTCATGTTGGTATCTTCTTGCTATAAAAAGACTGTTCTGTCGGTCTTACGGTCTCATTTTAATGTTAATGCTGGTCAGCTGTGCCTGAATTTTAATGGGAGAAAGGTATAATGAGGCATGTCCGACCACCCATTCCCAGGATAGCCTGAACTAGTGTTTCAGGTTTACCTTAGAATGCCCTTGGCTGAGAGGAGGGGTCCATGCAGTTGGATGGGGGACTTAGAATTTTCGGTTTACACTCACAAATTGAAGTATTTGTGATGATAAATTGGACCTTTATTTTCAAAACCATCTTGTCCCTTCTTAAAATGAGTTATCCATTTGCAAATTGCTGATTTCTTTGTGGACACTGTCTCCTTAAGCTTTTTGTAAAACATCAATGATTTCACGATCCTTCCACCTAGCTTCACCATAAATTTCATAAATTTGGTATCTTTACTTGCTTCAATTTTAGGAGAACTCCTGTTATTCTGATGCGGACTTTTTTCAAACTGACGTTTTATCCTTAATGCCTCAAACTAGATCCTATTAAGATATGGTCTAACAAACTAGTATGAGTTTATTTTGGTGCAAAATATTTCGAAATCCATGCATAGTTTTTTCAAAACATGCATCTCCAATGAACTTTTTGAAGATCCCTCATATTATCACCTTTTATATTTAGGTTTATAAACCACCTCCCTTTAACTTTTGTGAATTCTATGGAGAAAAATTTAATTTCATTTTTTTCTGTGTGAATTTATAGCTAAATTGATTGAAAAGTTCACCTTTTCCTTACCCCTCTGCAGTGTTATTTCATTCTCATTTTAAGTACTTATATATATGTGGGGCTTTATTCTACTTCTTTGGTTTAATTTCTGTCTCTGAAGCAATACTAAACTGTGTTAATTACTATACCTTTATAATATATTTTACTATCTGATAGAATCACATTCTCTTTTCTGTTCTTCTTTATAAAAAGTGTCTTAGTTAATCATCATCTCTAAGTGAAATGAAATTGTTTTCTCTGTTTTTGAAATACACAAAATAAAAACTTATTTATAAGTATTCATAGCAGTTTTATTTATATAGCAAAAAATGGACACAATTTAAATACCCACCAAAGGAACAGATGAACAAGTCATGGTGTATTCTAACAGTGGAATATTATGTCACAATAAAAATGAACAAAATATAACACTATAGACAAATCTCAAAAACATGTTGAGCAAAAGAAGCCAGGCACATAAGAATATCTATGGCTGGGCACAGTGGCTCATATCTGTAATGCCAAAAATTTGAGAAGCTGAGGTGGGAGGATCACTTGAGCCCAGGAGTTTAATACCAGCCTGGGCAACATAGTGAGACCCCATCTCTAAAAAAGAAGTTAGCTGGGCACGGTGGCACCTGCCTGTAGTTCTAACTACTACTCAGGAGGCTGAGGTGGGAGGATCACATGAGCCCAGGAGTTTAAGACTACGGTGAGCTATGATCATGTCACTGCACTCCAGCCTGGGAGACAGAGTGAGACGCTGTCTCAAACAAAACAAAAACCCCCCAAAACCCCCCCAAAAACAAATAACAAGACTATATACTGTATGCTTCCATTTATATGAAGCTCTAAAACAGGCAAAACTAATCTAAAATGATATCAAATACATTAATGGTTGCCTGTTGTAGGGACTTTTCCAAATCATCCAGTAGCTGAAATGCTGCCCTGATGCTATTTTATACTTGTAAACTGAACTAGGACTGAAATCACGATTAGGATATACCGTTGCCCCATAGCATAATTGTATACATTGTTCTTGCCTTTCAGTGTCTATGGGTCAATAAACTGACACTTTAAATAGCATCAATCACTTTAAATATATATTATTTAAATAATAACAATAGCATCAACAAGAGGTAAATGTATATTGCACTTAATATCTACCAGGCATTGTAATGCCTTCACAAACCACTCCAGCAAAAGATCCTAATGGTTAAGTATTATCATTCTTGTTTTATATACGGCCCAGAAAAATGAGGCATAGAAAAGTGAAGTAATTTACCCAATGTCCCACAGCTATTAAATGGCAGAGCTGGATAATGAATGCAGGCAGACTGGGCTTGGGTTCTGTGTTCTTAATCACGAGCTGACTCAATGATATGAACATGTTCAGTGTATGTAGCATTATAAGAAAAAGTTGATTTGGAAGTTCAATGAAAAGTTGCCTCTTGTTTGAGTTAGCAATATAATTGGTGACTTTTGGGGAAGAACCCATTAAGTGGGGCTATTAACTTGTTATTTAAGATTTGAAGAAAAAAAATACCTCCTCCTTCCAAATAAAACAAAACAAGAACAAACAACAAACATAAAACTGACTCTGCACAGAGGATTGATATTTTGGAGGGCTTGTATTATCCAGATTATTGCATTCATACAGTTGTAAGCCCCTTGCTTAACCAGGCTTGTATAAATGGGATCAGTTCCTTGATCTGTTTGAAAAAGAATTTTTCAGCCTGTCACTAAGAGTCAAATCCTTCTTTTCTGCTCTTCTGCTCCTAAAGATATTTATAATTTGTTTATGATTTATTGAAATTTGCCTGGCTGTGGGAGAACTGCATCTTTTAAGTTTCAGTTCACTTAACTCTTTGCTGCCTACTCCATTCCCTTTAGGAAACTTTGTCTTCTTAAAAGATGTTTCCATGAGCTCACGTTCCCATCTGAAGAATATAAAATAACATGCTTAATACTATACACAGTGTATTCTCCCATTTTCTTTATTAAGGTACTTAGTGGACGTAACTGGTGGTTGTGGGTATATAAAGATGGCCACAGGCTGGGCGTGGTGGCTCACGCCTGTAATCCCAGCACTTTGGGAGGCTGAGGTGGGCGGATCACCTGAGGCTGGGAGTTCGAGACAACCTGACCAACATGGAGAAACCCCTGTCTCTACTAAAAATACAAAATTAGCTGGGCGTGGTGGCGCATGCCTTGTAATCCCAGCTACTCAGGAGGCTGAGGCAGGAGAATTGCTTGAACCCGGGGGGCAGAGGTTGCAGTGAGCCAAGATCATGCCATTGCATTCCACCCTGGGCAACAGGAGTGAAACTCAGTGTCAAAAAAAAAAAAAAAAAAAAAAAAAAAAAAGATGGCCACAAATCTCTTCATACATTCGCTTCTGCTTGATAGCTTTGTTGGTGAACTTAGGTTAAAATTGTGGTTATAAAAACCCAAGCCTCAAAAACTAATGGTGCTAAAATATATTTTCTAATGAAACTAAAATTTTTTTTGCAATGTAGTTAATATCTAAAAAGAGCATACCATGATTATCTCAGCTGTTTACTTTGGGCAGATAATCTTTCTAAATACACATAAACCATCAGAAATTTTAATATACGTTAGTTCCTCACTTCTATGCTTTATCTCCTTTAAAGATTAGCCTCTTAGAGGTATACAGGAGTGGATTATGTCTTTTTCTTTTTTAAAAATGAACACTTTTACCCACTTAAAAAGCTCCTTTCTTCTGTCTCAATTTTCTGCTTTATCTTTTCTTGCTCTTTCTCCAGGTGCTTTCTTTATTAAACTTCCTGATGTGCCTCTCTGTCATTAGTCTTTATTTCATTTTTTCTGGCATGGAGATTGGTAACAATAGTACTAGTGGTGGGCTGGGTGCAGTGGCTTATGCCTGTAATCCCACCACTTTGGAAAGCCAAGGCAGGAGGATCACTTGAGTCCAGGAGTTCGAGGCCAGCCTGGACAACACAGTGAGACCCTATCTCTACAAAAAATAAAAAATTAGCCTGGTGATTACCTGTGGTCCCAGCTACCCAGGAGGCTGAGGTGGGAGGATCATTTGAACCCAGGTGGTCCAGGCTGGAGTGAGCCATGACCATGCCACTGGACTCCAGCCTGGGCAACAGAGTGAGATGCACTCTCAAAATAAATAAATAAATAAATAAACAAAACAAGCAGTAGCAATGCTGAGTCCTGGGTCAGGATCCTGGCTAGGCTAGCATTAGTAGGGAGGAGAGATGACAGTGACTGTACAGCTTGGATGATTTATTGTTTTTGAGTTGCATTAATGGGAGGAATCAAGGAAACAAATTATTTTATTCAGTTTAATATGCCTTCATAAAGGGCATCCTAATTTTACATGACATGAGAGAGGGCATATCTCTCTGATCCTTTCCCAGTGGGCATATCAATGAAATAGAAATGTATAAACATTTGACAGACAGGGCTTTGTTACTACAGGGCCTGCTTGAGTTATAGGGCATTATGGTGGTTCCAATATCACTTATGCTGTAGCAGATGAACATTGATTTCCTGTGATTGCGATGATATTGGTTTCCTTTGCTCTTGTAACAAATTATCACAAATTAGTGGTTTAAAACAATACAAACATTAATTATAGTTCTGATAGCCAGAGGTCCTACAATCAAGGTGTTGGCAGGGCTGTGTTCTTTCTCTAGGCTGTAGAGGAGAACTTGTTCCTCATCTTTTGCAACTTCTGGAAGTTGCTTATATTCCTTGATTTGTGACTCCCTTCCATCTTCTACACCAGTATTCACATCACTCTCACCTCTGCTTTTGTTGTTACATTGCCTCTCACTCTGAGACCCTCCCTCCCACTTAGAAGGTCCCTTGTGCTACGCTGGGCCCACCAACATAACTGAAGAAAATCTCCCCACTTCCAGATCTTTAACTGAATCATATCTGCCAATCTGTTTCAGCATGCAAGGTAACACATTCACTGTTTTGGAGATTAGGACATGGACATCTTTGGGTGTCCATTATTCTTCCCACTGCATACCTGTCCTATAGCCAGCTGTTTGCATTTTACTATTAATACCATTGATATTAGTCAGGCAAATTGGAGTCAGCTAGACTATAGCATTTTTAGTACTATTTTTACTTTTTTGGAAGCCTCCACATGGGAACCAAAATAACTATGCTTTGATCAATCTACAGAACAGCATGCGTTCAAATCCTCAGAGCTTTGTTGATCCACACGTTCTCTGTGCTTGATGCAGAGAGTCTACCAGGTTTTGAAATCTTAGCGCTAATGGCTGGTAAATTTCTGAGGTATTGTGCCCACCAAAGACATAAAGCAAATCTAATCCTCTGGATAAAGATCTCAAAGCCACAAAATTCCAACTCTATCTCTCTACTAAGATCTAATAGTGCTGAAGGCTTGCCAGAGTTGTTAATGTACCTTCTCATGGCCAATTTACACAAAGCATGCTATAAGAACATTGCATCATCCAAATTAAATGTGTAACCTACTGTAGGCATCAGTCAAGACAGAAAATGGCTTTTCTACTGAAATTTTAAGAGTGGTATGTTGTCCAAAAGAAAAAGCTCTTTATTCTCATTGTCTCCATACTTCAGAGAAACTGATGTGGAGAGTTTGAGAGGAAGAATGAGCAATGAGGCTAGTGAGATGGTAGACAGGGGGCTTTGTTGTGGGGGTTGAAAGATGTAAGATCTTTGTCCTAAGGACAACCAGAATTATTGAAGGACTCTAAATAGATGAGGAGAGGAGGGCAAGGGAGAAGTCAGGGCCGGCAACTGGGTATTTTGGCTTGGGGAGACTGGATGGATGGCAACTCCATTGGCTGAGATGGGAAACAGAGGAAGCAGACAGAATTTGGAGGTAAGCTGCAGGTTACATTGGAAATGAGAGTGAGACATCCAAACGGAGATGACAAAGAGGCAACTGGCTATATGGATCTGAGGTTCAGGAGAGAGGTTTGGGCTTTTGATATGAATTTATGACTCATCAGTGTAATGGGAACTCTACTGGAGAGAGTATACAGAGAAGATGGAATAGACAGAGACCCAAGGAGCACCAACTTTCAGAGAAATGAAAGAGGAAAAGCCTGCAAATGAGACTAAGGAACAGCTAGAGGTTACAGAAAGAGTTTGTACATTAAAATATTTGTACCCATTATTTGGGTCCTGTTATTGGAAACATGTTTAATCACAATTAAATGTGACTTGAAATTTATCTGTTTTAAAATTTATTTAAAAACGTTGTTTATATTTAAAAGAGGAACAGTAAATCCTCACATCGCAGGGTTATGAGGTTCAAATACAAAAAGTATTTGAAAATATTTTGGAAAGTATTATACCAGTGGTTCTCAAACTTTAGTAGTATATATCAAAATCATTTGGAGGGCTTGTTAAAACACAGATTGCTGTTTTTTTTAAAATTATTATTTCAGTAGTGGTAGTAGCAGTTTCTGATTCAGATCTGTGGTAGGAACCTAGAATTTTAATGTCCAAGTTCTCAGGTGATGCTGATGTTATTGGTCTAGGACCATCCTTTGAGAACCACTGTGTAATACAAATGAATTATGGTTTTGACTTTATAGCCAAATTCATTGAGTTTTCCTCCAATGTTAGTCTCTTTCTTCCTCTAATGCTGTTATTTCCTTACCTTGCTTCACACCTAGCAATATCCGTTTACACATGTGAAAGACCAACTTAGTGAAGTATTTTGTTGACTGTTTACAATAGTAAGCAACGACTTCAGGTTAGCTTAATTAAGGAGAATAGGAAAAATATATGGTTTTTTTTTTTATAGGGAGATAAGAAGGAACTCTTTGGAATAAGAGGTGGGATTTCTGTTTTCCCCAAAGTCAATTAGATGTCAAATGCTACTTGTTACCAACTTTCCAAAATCCCATTAGAGACCTTGTAATTTGATCCAGAGAGAACAGCATTAAGAGTCAGGTAAAAGGAAAAACTGACTTCATTCTTCATTCCTTTCCTAAATCCTGAGAAATGTGTATACCTCAACACTCCCTTTTCCAATCCCGCAAAACAGGGAATCAGGAAAACACATTAGCACCCTAGTACAGACTAGGAATACAGAGCTGGGAGGAGACTCAGTGCCGTCAAGACAAGGAAACTGGGGGAGGGGAAGGAAAACTTCCCCTCGTTGGACAATCTGAGGGCTGCAGTGGGAAGAGAAGGGAAGTGGGGAAATGTACCTCAGACGTCGGCCAGACACTTTGCCTCTGGGCATGTGGGAAAGTGAGGGAGGAGGGAAAAGCGCTGCACCACAGCGAGATAGCAACAGCTCCTGCGGCTGCTTTTGAGTGAAGATCAGTAGAGATAGAGCGTGCCGCTTCACATCTTCCTCCCGGAGGCCATTTCTCCATTTTTATGTGGGATAAAAAGGGGGCGCTGGGCTGAGTCAGTATAAGCCAAAGTTGCCGCCTCTTGCGCAGCCGACCCCGCTTCGGCCCCGGCCCAGGCCAGAGAGGTGGCCCTCGGAGATGCTGAAGTTACTCCGCGCAGGGGGAGGGGTCGCCAGGCTCCTCTCCAATCACGGTGGCCGCTCCAGCTATTTGCATACATTATGCTAATAACAGACCTCCTGCCCCGCTCCCACCCAAGCTTCCCGCCTCCCTTGGGGGTTCCCCGGGCCGGCCCGCGGGCTGGGCCAAGGTGAATACATTATGATAATAAGGCGGGCTCCTGCTTTGCCTTCGGAAGGGGGGCGCGCAGCAGCGGGAGCGGCAGGCCGGACGCCGGGCGCCGGGAGGGGGTCGGGGGAGGGACGTCGTGCTCGGAGCGCGCGCGCACTCACACACTCACACACACACTCACGCGAGCATCGCGAAGGGTATTTAAGGATCGCGCACGCGGGGCTGCGGAGATCCTTCGGGCAGCCGCGACTTCGGCTTCGCGAGTAGCATTGGTTCCT
This sequence comes from Homo sapiens, assembly GCF_000001405.40. Classification (NCBI taxonomy): domain Eukaryota; kingdom Metazoa; phylum Chordata; class Mammalia; order Primates; family Hominidae; genus Homo; species Homo sapiens. The sequence goes on along the minus strand of NC_000004.12, from coordinate 109,302,608 downwards.
TGGGTTTATTTCGTTTTCCTCTCTCTTCTCCACCTTAGTCGCCCCTTTCGCGCTGCGCTGTAGCGTGCTCTCACAGCCTTTTTGCCTTGAACTGAATGCAGGTGGGAAACAGGTCGGCGTGCCGAAAGACACCGAGTAGGTAGAAATAAGGCAAACTCACAGAGGCGCAACAGGTCCGGTCCTCCGTGGCCAGGGCGAGCCGCGGCCCCGCGTGGCGCCTCGGCCGTTGCCCTCGGACCCTGAGCGGCCACTGTTGGGGCCCTCGAAAGAGGTGTCGGTCCTCTGGGAGTCGGAAGAGCTGTCTGGGTGGGTTTCGTCTTGCTTTTTACCCCACCGCCACCCAGTCCCCGGACGGAGGGTGCTTTTCACTTCCAGCTGGGAGGAGAGAAGAAAGCGGGGATGGTGCACGCCTGCGGGTCTGGACGCTGAGCAAGGCAGGGGTCCGTATCCGCTCGTGGGCTTGACTCCACCAACTAGTTGTGCAGCCACAGGGACTGAACTTTGGAGGAATCGACCTTTTTCTTTCCTTTTAGGATTATTTGAGGTGTAGAGGGTGGGAAGCGAAGCCGAGACGGCCGACCCCGCCACGATGCTGCTGAAGAAGCACGCAGGGAAAGGAGGGGGCCGGGAGCCCAGATCCGAGGACCCGACCCCTGCCGAACAGCATTGTGCCCGGACCATGCCCCCGTGTGCCGTCCTGGCGGCCCTCCTGTCAGTGGTGGCCGTGGTGTCTTGCCTGTACCTGGGTGTGAAAACCAACGACCTCCAGGCGAGGATCGCCGCTCTCGAATCCGCCAAAGGGGCCCCTTCCATTCATCTGCTGCCTGATACCCTGGATCACCTCAAGACTATGGTGCAAGAGAAAGTGGAGCGACTTCTGGCTCAGGTGTGAGAGGCTGGGGTATTTTGCACGTGGGTAACATCTTGTACAAGCGTGACTCTGTGTGCATGACTAGCCGCTACCCTTACTGTACCCATACTTGGTGTGGCTGTGTGTGTGCGCGCGCGTGCATGTGTTGGCCAAGGATCTATGCTCACTGTAGCATATATTTATATGTGCACATCCCTTGATGTCCCCATCCCTATCTCTAATCTTCCCTCACTCTCTCTTAATGTTTGCGTGTTAAACACATAGGAAGGTCTAAAAGGGTTCGGAAAGGGCATTTTATCTCTTTTTAGTTGTCCTAAGTCAAACCCAATTGTGGAGAGAATATTTCTTGCAGAGATAGCATCTGTTAAATCTTTTACATGTTGTAAGATGGTTAGGGTCATAGATGTTATTAATATATAAAAAAGGTAATCACTCTTAAATGTAAAATAATGTCATATATAATTTAAAATCAATAATTTCACACGTTGAATCTTTTCATATTAAAAGTTTAAACTTTTTTTTTTTAAAGTAGCTTTATTTTTGGTAAAGGATGCAGTGCCGGGGTATTTATGAATGCAGAGCCCTTGGAATTGAGAGTTGAGAGGAATCTATGTTATGTGTAAGGGTACCTTTAGACTAGAGTAAGGGGGTTTTCTGGAACCTTACCCTAGCCGGGAGCCTATTTGGCAGTAGTTGCAGCCTAGCATGATAAATAAAGCAGTTGACCTTCATGTATAAAATATTGGCTGTTATTGGTAAGCCACAGCTTACCTAATACTGCAACATTTTAGTGCTAGGTTTTTACATTGACTGCATATGCTTGAGCTGAGGGAGAGAGTGGTGGTAGAGAAGAATGGAGAAAGATGTTATACAAGTCCAGCAATCTTGATACCCTATCAGTGGTCATTTTCTTTTTTTAGGACTTAGGCATGGTTACTTTCTTGACTAGAGTCCAAGTACATATGTAAATGTTAGTTATGCAGGTTATGAAATGCCGGTAAATCAGGCGTATGGCCAGAGTCCCTAAAGACTCCATCCCTCTACAGTGCTACTGATGATTATTAATAACTCTTCTTTTCCTACAGAAATCCTATGAACATATGGCTAAAATAAGAATCGCAAGAGAAGCACCTTCAGAATGTAACTGCCCAGCAGGTAAAATGGAACTTATTTAACAAGGTTTCCTCCAGAGCAGAGCATTTTAAAACAAAGGTCCTGTGTCTGTCAAGTCTACCTGTAATAATAGTAAAGAAAGAATGCAGACCCAACTTGCTTTAATAAAATCAACATGTCTCATTCAAAAGGATGGCAAATAAAGCCCCAAATATTATTTTAAGCAGCATACCAAGGCCTGTTATGGGAAAGCAAAGGATATAATCACCAAAGAAAATATAGGCAAGGTGATGTACAAGGACAAACTTCTTAGATTCACAGATTGAAAAATATTCTTCAATTAAATTGTCTTAATGTCTACAGTGAAAAGGACTGTAGAACTGTTAGATTCTGAATTCCTGGCTCGCTCTTATTGTGTTAGTGCAGAGTTTTTTTTTTTTTTTGTTTTGGTTTATTCCCTTTGGCATACGTTTATGTTAGTAAACCACCTTCACTTCCTTTCCTGCTGTTTCTGTTCTATTAAAAAGATTCCATCTCCTATCCTATAGCTAGAGATGATGACTGAAAGAAAATGATTTCTTTATCTTGAGCTTCCCATTACAAACTCTTGCATTCTCAGTGACTTTTGAAGAAGAGGCTCTTATATTTTTACCTTTTTTTCCTGTGTAGCTTCAGGGAACTATATTAAAGGCAGCATATTAGTAGAAGGACAGAGAAGAAGGACATCATGAATAAGACCCCTGGGTAATCATTAAATCTTCCTTCATGGACCTTTGAGGGCTTGGTAGATATCTTAGACCTAACAATTTAGAAGCCCTTGGAATATGGCCATTGGAAACATCTAGTGGATTCAACTCATGTAAGTCATGAAAAACTCCCATGAGTTGAGATGTTTATTTCAGATAAACATTGTTAATACATTTATGAACATGATAGTTTCTTTTATCATCACTCATGGAAAGTGAGTCTCTTAAAATTTCTTTAGTATTAAGCAACATGATACTTAGGTGCTTATATATGAAAAGGCAAGTTCTTGTATTTTTTCATATTCTGAAACGTTTCCCCCTCATGATAACTTGTTTTGGCAGAGCTACACAAGGCACCACATTTAGAAATTTTAAATGTCAACTCCAGGTTGTACCTTATACAAATTTTACTATTTATATTCTGTTAAATTTTTGAACATAATAGAGCTATATCTTTAAAATGAAGCCCTTTTGATCGAGAAGACATATATGTTAGGTACCAGAAAAACAGAGTTAACCTTTGACAGTGTAGGTCTCATTCTTAGTTGTTTTATGTTGGAAAATATCTCAGAAGTCAGATATTCAAGGAAGGCACTTTTCTAGTGTGGGAATTAACTCAACCACCTCATCAGCCTGTAGGGATTATTTAAATTCCCAGGACAGTTGGTGCAGGACTTCACTGATCATACCACGTAGAGTCCAGCATTTTTTTGTATACAATATTCTTACTAGCTCTGTGAAAAATAGCTAGTGCTTAATTAATAGAATTCTTAATAAACTTAGTAAAAATAGAAAAGTGACAACCACAACATTGAGTTCTATTTTTTGAGAAGATATAATTGTTTCGTGATGTTTAATGTAGGCTAGCTACTGAAGTCTAACTTGCAATCTAAAAGAAATCTATTACATTTAAAATTTACTGTATATTATCTTAGATTATTTTGGACCATTTTTCATCTTAGCATGTGAACGTAATAATAAATGGAGATTTCCTAGGCTTTTTTGTTGGCTCCCACTAATAGCTGCTTTACCTCTTGCCACCACCAGAGCTCCACATTACATCAGTTTTTACCTGGCAGCTTCCAAGGTAAACATTTGAAGGTGTGCATTCTAATATGCAGAATCAAGCAGGTTTCTTGCTGACAAACTGCTATTATGGAAATACTCCCTTTTGCTTGAGGAATAATCAGACATCATCAAAATAAGGACATTACGTTGAAAATAATATCTTGGGGAAAACTATTTATTTCTAATACGGCCAGTGAGGAGTTGTCTTAGGGAATGAATGGGCTGACCAAGAGGATTAGAAAAGAGATTCAGCACTTCCACCTGGTTTGGCTCTAGCCCTGGTTTGCAGTGACTAAGAGTTGTCACCTAGACATCTGTTTGTAGGGCAGAGTGAGACAAGTCTGTGACCTCAGCTCAGTTCCTGTGGACAGATGCCCACCCCTTGAAGTTAACACTCTTGTTAACAGTTTTAGTCACAGAGCCAAGGACTGATAGCAAAGAAGCAATGATGTGTTGTTTGTGTTCACTCATTTCTTTTGATAGAACTCAGTCCCAGTGAGGTTTATTCAGGTAGGCTCTAAGGGTAATCATAGAATTTATAGATATATTTTTATGCACAAAAAGGAACCTCTGTGAGAGAGAGATGAAAAGGACAATTTTTTAAAAATGGCTTCTAATGGCAGGGGATGTACTCTCTAATTTAATTTTCACAATGACCCTGACTGAAGTATTAGCAGTCTCATTTTACAGATGAGGAAACTGAGACTCAGAGAAGATGATTAACTTAACATGGTAAAGGCAAAGTCAGGATTCATGCCCACATCTGATAGAACTAAAAGCCCAGTCTACCAAGGAATAGAGAATAAGTATAGGTTTTGGACCTGGATAATTCCGGATTGGAATCCTGGATCTAGTACTAAATAGCTGTGTACATTGGTCAAACTAATGAACTTCCCTATGTTCTAATTTCCTCATCGGCAAAAAAAAAAAAAAAAAAAAAAAAAAAAAGAAAAGGAAAAAAGACTAATAATACCTTCCTTAGGGTAATAGTTTACCTAAATAGTCTGGTATATTAGTGGCTATCCATTAGACAATAGTAATTACTATTCTTTTTAGTATATTATATGCTACTTAGCTCTGCTGTGATCTACAGAGACACATGAAATAGGTGGGAAAACTGAGACCTGGAGATGTTGTATAATTTGCTAAAAACCCAGTGGCTAATTAATGGCAGGTTTGGACTAGAACACTGTACTTAATTAAACAAATGTATCTGTAGATTATTCATGAGATAATCATACTAGTCAGTATTTCTTGGTGCTATATAAATAAAGATTGGTTCTTTTTTGATATTTATATAAGTCTCCTAAATTATTCTTACAAAAATTGCAGGGAAAACTTTTGACCTTTTAGGTAAACCATGATTGAAGTGGATAGGACCTGGGCTTAAAAGACCATGGGGATATTAAAAAATATCTTTACAGTTTTAATACCAGATGTTTACAAAAAGAAGTAGCTTAATTATGTGACTCCTTTTCAATTTTAAATAGCCTATTGCAGTAAAATTTTTAATATTTACCTATTTTAAGATTTTTAAAACAGATTAATAGAGTTGGGCAGCCATCACCACAATCCAGTTTTAGATCATCTTGTCACCCTGGGAAACTTGCATTTATTTCTTTCATGCAGTCAGAAAAGCTCTATTTTAAAAAATATTTGGTTTAAAGAAACCCAAAATGATAATTTTAAAAATAATAATCTTAAAATTTCCATACAAATTGAAGCTGTGTTTAGCAGAATATTTGGTTTAGCAGTAACCAAACCAGAGAAATTCAGCTGGCATCTGTGGCTTGGCCTCTGTAAAATTCAACTCTAATTGGAAAGAATAAGTTGGCTCTTTGCTATGGCTGTAGAATTTAGTTTTGGGTTCTGTTCTTGGAGTCCTATATAAAATATGCATAAACCAGGCATATCTATGAGAAGGTTTTTATGTTTCAACTGATAAAGAACATTGGGAACCAGGCAGCCAACCAAAAGATGTGTAGATTACAAAGATTTCTGTATCTTACTCATCAGTAGTGTTGCCTGCCCAGGATATTAGGTATAAGAACCTCTGTGGTGTAATGAACGAAGAATGTGGATGCGGAATAAAGAATCCAAAGTTCTAATCCTGGCTTTGTCATTAACTTATTATGCAATTTTGGGAAGTCATTTCCAAGAACACCTCTTAGAGTTTCTATTTTCATATCTCCAAAATAGGAGTGCTGGACAAGAATGATTTTGAAGGGCATTTGTCAGTTCTTCAGGTTAAATGAAAAGGCTGCTGTATGCCAAATACTGTGCTAGACATTGGGAAAATGTTGATGTACAAGGCAGACTTGGTATCTTCCCTCAAGAAGCTTACATTTTGATGAGGATGACAGACAAATCTTTAAAAATGATGTGAATGTACAGGTATGACAAGTGCAACCAAGAAAAAGTATAGTGTGCTTTGGGGCAGATGACTAAAATCTCTTCCATTTTTGTAAACCCAAAGATTTTATTTTTCTTTTCTCTGGGGAAAATAAAGAAAAAAGTATAATTCTTTTCTAGAATTTCACAATAGAGAAAATCTGGTTTCCGATGAAAATAAAAACTCTAGCAATGGATAAAAAGCTGATTTGCCTTTTAGGTCTCCAAGAATTTATGAACAGATAGAGGTACACTGATACCTGGTATACTTACCCCATGTGAAACAAAAAAAGGCACTTTTAATATATAAAGGGTTGTTGTAGACAGGAGGATGATGGCTTATTCTTCTACTTTTCTCCTGAAAATAGGGAGAGTTAGGTTGAATAAGGAGAGAAACTTTTTGTCTGGCTTACTGAACAGTACCACTGGACCTGGCTCCTGTACATTTGTGATAATCATTCAATGTAACACAGCTAGTCATTTGCTTGGAGAGTTTAACTAGAGATAAAAAAGATACACTAGGTAACTTCTGAGGTCTCTCTATACATTCCAAGTCCATGAAAATGATGGTGTACAAAATAAGAATACATGTAGGCAAGCGATTCACATAGGCAAGCAAGATTCATAAATGCAAATGATATTGCCCCTGGTGACTGACCTCGTTGCCTATGTTCTCATTTTTGGGTGGAAATAAATGTTAGCTGTAGCTTGATGGTTGTGTACTCTTTCCCATTGTATAAGAAGAACCTTTAAATTACCTTTCTAACATAAATTTACTTTCTCACATAAAACTTGTGTTTCCTAGTATACATGGTTTTTCACTTATGCTATATGTTTTTATCTTAACACTGCACAATCTATGGAAAGAGTGCATCAAGTAAGGGGATAATAATGTGTAGATTTTCAATTATGTAAGGTAAAGCATAGTCAGAAACAGTTTGCAGAAAGAAATCAAATTAAAATGCTATAAATTTTATTTAAATGAGAATAGCAGGCATTCCTCTCTTCTTATAAGGCCAAACAATACAATGTGACATCTGAGTGCCTTCAAGCATCCATGTTAAATTGTTTCAGTCCTAATGAGTACAACAGTGTGGATCTAACACTTTTAGTTGGTCCAGGAGTGACAGCTGGTAAAAATGCCCAGTCACCCAAAGTGCCAATGACAAATTGCCTCTTGAAGCAATGTTCTTGTTTCTTAGCTTCTCTTGTCTACAAGTTTTTAAGAAGCTAATTCTTAAACTACTCTTTTCTCTTTCTTACCTTAATAATTCTATTTTTTCATGAGCTGGGAATTACTTAAAAGAAGGATACAAATTCTGCATAGAGTTTAATTCATTCTAGCTCATTCAAATTATATGTAGACATAAGAAGCCTCTCAGGGCCATAATATCCTACTGTGCTTCTGATTGCTTTGTAATTGTGCAAAATCAACTACATGATGTTAATGAAAATAGTATCTGAATGTCAGGCTTAGGTCTAGGGATGGAGAAGGGGCATCCTCTTACTAACAGGATTAGGTGAATGGAGAGATGATGGGGAAATATGTCAGAATCAGGACTGCTTTGCAGCCCTGGGGGGCATTTCCTGTTTCAGGGAACCTCACAAGACATTTATCCAAATAACATCAATCTATGTTATCCTGAGTGGAAACCGTCCAGAACCTATCATGAAAAAGGTTTTTATTTCATACTATCACTTTATAAACAATTATTTGGTGGTTTTAAGGAAGCTGAGAATGTGAAAACAATGTATGAGTCAATCCGGGCTGCGGCTATAGCCTAGTGTGCAATGGTTAAATATAGATGCATCCCCAGCCTCCCTGGTTTGCCAATATGGGTGAAGTTCCATGTGGTGGTTTAACGCACCATGATATTTAGCACCTTTTCCCTGGTTTGTGTTAAAAATTACTGTAGTATGCCCACATACTCAATTCTTAGACATGGATAGTTACTGCTTCATTTGGGATTTATTCAGAAATCTTGCAATTAAGAAATATTATTTTAAAATTGACTGTTTTAAAAAAGTTAAGTATAGAAGAGTGAGAAGCAGAAGTAAGTGGAAATCACTTACAAATTAAAATTGAGCACTTTTCATTGGCATCATATATTCCTCCAAATGACTATTCTGTGATTCATTTAAATGAAAGGAGCCATTGAGGAAATGGCACCAGATGGCAGGCACCTCCCCTTTGTGACCTCTAGGAGGAGGAACTGAGCTGAATAGCGTACTTCCTCTCTTCTGCCTCCTTCCCAGTTAAACCCCTAGCTGACTTCTATCTTTTGACTTCTGTTTGCAATGAAAAAGATTCATGGAGGAAGCAAGGAATTTCTTCCACCTATATTTGAAAACTCTAGTGTCCTATCAGCTTTAAGATATTTAAAAGCATCTAGTAGATTTCACATTTATATTAGTCAAATAGTTCATTTAGTAGATAAATTCACAGATATGAAGTTTAAGCTAGTGTCCCAGTAGATAGAATAAATGAACTAAATGTAATTGAACTTACCTGTTGAGGATTTTGTACTTACATTTTGGAATTTCTCAAAATCCAGAATCATTTGGAATCACTGTCATGCTTTTGACATAATGTCATCTGGAGTCTTCATTTCAATGTTAAGTTGCCACATAATATGAGATTTGAAGCGCATTTTTTATTTTTCTTCATATTGTGTTATTTAGTCTTGTTGCTAAATTCATCTTTTTGCTATAAAGTCATATTTAGTAGATGTAGACCTTATTTGTCATGAATACCAAGACTATGTCTGTTCATTTGCGTGTTAATCATTTAGATTTTAGGAGCTCTAGTTTCCTGGTTTATGTACACAATGTTTTTATTCTTGTATTTGAAGTGTGGTCAGCACATTTTAAAACACAATTTTCACATTTAGGCTAAGTGGCTGAGTAAATTGTATGAATTGTAGCCAGCTCTAGTTTGTACATTATGGTAATATTGAGAGTCAGAATCTGTCTAACTAAAAGTAGCTGGTCAGGGAAGGGGTAAAGTCTATTTTTTCCCTTGTTTACCAAAGAGTTCACGTGTAAGGAGAGTAAAAGAGGGGAGGAAAAAGCCCCCTTTATCCCCTTAGCTCTCAGAATCATATTTCTTTATCATCATACTTAGAAAGCTTGATATTTTAGAGTTCTTATTGTTATATAATTCTGGACAATAGTTAGGGAGCCAGAGGAATTCTCTGTTATAGCTTTGTATTATACCTCCATTTTTGATCTTTAAGATGCTACAGTGAAATATGTCAGGAAAATTGATCCATTTCTTAGCATTCTGATGTCTTAGGTCAATGCTGGGAGCTGTCAAAGGTTAAGTTGTTTGTATTACCCTTCCAGGAATTATGAAACCCCAATTTGTCATCTCAGGGACTCCAGATTCCAGCTGGCATTTTAAGATAATATATGATATGATCATAAGATGAAAGTGATTTCCACAAACCACATTCAAAAACCAATGCTTTTACTTTAAAGTCATGCCAGAAATGCTGGCCGGTTCTAGGGCTCCTAAGTGAACTTTGGAACACTAAAAATCATTTTTTACTGAAAGAATTAGGGCACAAGGTCAGAGCAGATGATGTTCAAATGGAAAAATGCTTCTTAAATAACTGCTTTTCTCAGGATGGTTATCAACTTGATTGGGAATCAAGTGGGTTAAGTGGGTCAAGGATCCAGTGACTTTTGTGGGCAGATCCTGACACATGCTAACTGGTAAGTGGTCTCATGGTATAATTCTGTTCTACTACCAGTGTCACTTACGGGCTCTCCAAACCCCCATAGATATACTTACAGTCTCTTCCCAGATAAGCGGTCTCATGGTACAGCTGTATTACTAATCTCACTTGTGAACTCCTTGGCAGGGGCTCTGGTTTGTATCTATGTATCTCTAGGGCTCATCGTAGAGCTCTCTATAGAAAGTTCTCTGTAAAACAGCAAGATGTTTATGATGAAGATCTGAAAATGTGGGTTGAGGCTTTTAATATGGTGCATCTCTTTCCATGCATTACTATTCTCATCCCCATGCCTTTTAAACATTTTCTCTGAGAACTTTGTGAGCCATAACATATTAAAACTAATACAAATCTCGGAGATTAATTAGTACAGGGATTTTATAACATTTCTTTAAAAGGCTGAACCTTTTTTAAAAATGAAATTATATGAGAAACCCCATAATATGAAATTGGAAGCAATGTTAGCTACACTGATTGACCTCAGAGACTAGAGCAGGCAGAAGCCAATAGCCTCCATGCTTTCTTTCTGCTGCCCACCTCTCTCCCCGATGCTGGCCCCTGAGGCATCTCCAAAGAACCTTAGGACTCCATAGGACACTATTAGAAAATTAATGCAAGTCCAAGCCCCAGAGGACTTACACTTGTCAACACAGAAGTGATCTTTGAAATACTGTACTGTAAGCATGACTAGATGATGGTAGTAAAATTATGTATTCAAATTAAAGTCTAAAAGTGACTATTCATATAATATCATCTCTTTAATGGGTCAGAGTATTCTAGCAAGGAAGCTGATGTAATAATAGTGTCACAGGAAAGCTGGGTAAATGCACTGTGTAACTGAGCATGGTACTGTTCGTTAGAAAAATCTACATCTCACTTCATCCTTTTTCTTAAAGTCACTTATTTTTTAAGACTTCAAGTGACAATATTGTTCTTGTTCTTTTAATGACAATTTTCTGTGTTTCTTCAAATTTCTTCCCTTATATTTTTACTTATTTTTTAATTCTAGATATTCATATGGAGCTTTATTACCAAGTTACAGCAATTCATTCTTTTAAAATGTATTTACTTAAAGCACTTGATTTTTTGATGAATAGTTAATATTTAGTCCACAAGGTAGTATATGAAAAATAACTCTCCCCTAAATTATGTTATTTATAGAAAATATACGTTATAAGACTTCTAGGATCTTCTAAAGATACTTCTAAGATCTCTGAGACTTTCTTACTTGATTTGATTTTTGGTTGTGTATAAAAATGATGATGTTTGTATATTGAAATTTAAATTGATGGCACAATGAGAATACATGAATTGCACATAAGTAGTACTAGGAAGAAGTCTCTAGGAATTAACAGGATTTTAGCCAATAGTGAGCAAGATATACAATACATTTCACATAGAAAGTATAAATCTGGCTGCAATCGTACTGTAATAAGTACTGCAAAAGAAAATTTGAAAGACAATACTCTACCTCGCATTGAAATGAATGCCCACTGTCATCAGCAGCACTGTTTACTGTATGAGTAGCTAGCTGTGGACAGTTGTTTGGCTAAGTGAAGCACCTTCGTCACTTGTCTGGTAGGACACAGAATGACACAGCAGTTCTACAAGTTATCAAGTGTTGATGAGCAATTTATTTTCTCTTTAATACACAGTCTCAAAGTATGGACTTCAAGGAAGACTGGAAGAGAAAATGACTTCTTTTTTAACTGGTTACTTTGTCTTCTGCAAAAAGACTATCAGTAAAGCAACAAAGATAGGAAAGTTGAACAAGTAAGAAAGGCTGGAAAGACCATATAGGCCAAGCTTGTCCAACCCATGTCCCTGCAGGCTGCATGTGGCCCAGGATGGCTTTGAATGTAGTCCAACACAAATTCGTAAACTTTCTTAAAACATTATGAGTCTTTTTGCAATTTTTTTTTCTCATTGGCTATCATTAATGTTAATGTGTGGTCCAAGACAATTCTTCCAATGTGGCCCAGGGAAGCCAAAAGATTGGACGCCCCTGATACATGCCAACCAAAGCTATTATAAACTACAAAAAAAGAGACTTAACTAAACAAACTGTATTTCCTAAATTTCCTTCCCAACCCCTATAGACATACTGACAATTTCCCAGGATTTTAAGCAGCAAGTCTGACAAGTGTGACTTAGTACTACCATACATGTTAAGCATCTGGAAGTTTTTAATTTGAAAAACCCCAAACCTCTAGCATTGAGAAATTCCTTCCATAAAGAGACCAGGACTTTTATGTACTTGCATATAATTTCCTCTGTACAAAATTATTTAATGATCCAAGCTTTAGCTATTTCTGAGGACACTTTCCTGAATATTGGCTTGGTTCTGCAACCAAGTTCTATATGAGGAATGCTATATATTGGTGGTAAAATTTATTTACCATTTTTGGAATTTTAAAAAAAAGGTTCATTTATTTTTATAGCAAAAAATGCCCTTGAATGGAGAAGTCTGAGGTATACTTTCTGTATTCTGTGGGTGAGTTCATGACACATTAGAGTCAGAATGTGTTTTATTCTTTTAAGCTTTCATCTTTTTGAGCAGAAAACCCTTGCTTCCATCATCAATCCTCAAGAAGAAATCTCAGAGGAATTGTATAATCAGTAACATGTATCCCCTGTATATATGTATCATACATCATTTTTTCTCATCATTTTCAAGTTATTACATCTGTACTTTTGTTTATTTTTAATCATATACTGCTAGCATTTTAAACATTCACACTGTTTCACAATTATAGGATGTGATGAGAATAATGTTCATTGGATTCCTAAAAAACCAAGAGTAAATACAGCAAACAGGCCCTTAATCAACAAGCATTGCCCTAACGTGATCCGTGGTTGGCAAGCAGAGTGGACAGGATTGTCTTTGGGAGGTAGCCATATAGCTATGAAACTACAAAAACAGAGGATGTTCTATGTTCCTAAATAAGAACCCCATTCTACTCAGGGGGCTCCCCTATCTTCCCTCCCTTTCTCTAGCATGGATAGAACCCCTATTTTGCCTCCATTCTGTTGATGACACTTTACCTGGATTACTGTCAGCTTCTGATTTGGAGCTTCATCACCCTTGGGTCCCAAAGCCTCTAGACCTTTCCTGGGTGATAGCTATATTCATGATTCAATTTAGCAGCATAACTGAGAAAACATCAATGGCAAATATCAATATTTCTCCTACATTTCAAAAAGTAGCTGATTATTTTCTCAAAAATTACTGTTAAAATATAAATTTCAAAAAAGAAAATTATGAGTTTCATACAGATGTAAAATTAACAAGTGTTAAAGATTTTACTTAAATCATTAAAGAAGGAACTAGTAAGGTGTTATAACCAGTTCAAAGGAGAGTTTAAAAACATACATATTTTTAGTTCAGGAATATTGAAATAGATGTACAAAGGGAGGCAAAACGGACTTTTTCACAGTGGGAAGTCAGTTATACTCAGAGTTTGCATGTCTATAGATAAAAGTAATTTTGTTTTTCTATTAATTATCTACAACTTACACAGTTATAAAACAGCTCTCAAAGAATCAGAATCAGATACATAGGAAAGATGTACTGTAGACAATGCAGTTTTCCATAGGTGTACAAATTTTTTCCTACATTACTAAAGCAACTACACAGGAAACAGTTCTTTAGGTAAGCAAAAAATTTTGTATATATATGTGTGTGTGTGTGTGTGTGTGTGTGTGTGTGTGTGTGTGTGTATATATAATTTAGTATTCCTGGTAGTAATGATGATTGTTTATTATTCTGTTTCCTTTCATATTCCTAACCTATGGATTTGGGGGACTGAATGTTTTCATTTCTGTTAAAATTAGTTATTTAAAAGACAGTTCCTGTGAGTTTGGACTTTATATACTTTATCTGCTAGGCCCATGCGGTGGTGCTAATTGCTATGCTTGCATTACTGGTGTGATTTACATCAGTGTAAAATGGAAAATTGTAACACTGACAATTTGTTTGAGGCAGACACCACTTTGGAAGACACTGCTTCCTGTATTTAGGTACCAATGAATAGTTCCACTAATGTTAAAGAAGGAGTTGCTGACCTCACTTTGTGTTTTGGAAAATTATGTACAGGCAGTTACATTAGCCTTTCTCCCTTTTCTGTACTTCCAGGGAACCACCCTATTAATAATAGTGCCCATTATAAATATTTAATATAAAAAAACCAGAAAAGTAAGATAACAAAGGGGTTAAAGAGCATCTTTGATCATAATGGATTTTGCAGGGAACCACATTGTGATTAGAAAAGAAAATATTTGTGAGTAAATCAATTCCATGCTCCTGTCTTATATTTTTGACTGTGTGTATTTAGCAACAGAGCAAACAGAGCATGTTATACCAACTCCATTACTGTATTTAAAATTTTGAGCTCATAAATGATATTTGTTTCATAATCTACAAAAATATCTAGCCTTTTTCTTTTTCACTAGCAAGAGATGTAGAGGAGGAAAGCCTTAGTTATTCCTGGGCCTGAGTAAGGCTGAGGAAGGGGAAGGACTGAAGGAACTTTTTGAATGGAGAAACCATTCATCTGTAGACTGCATTTGCCTGATATGAGCATATGGTTGCCTCTGGGATTTTACGCTGCTATTTTGGCCCTCCTGGCTTTGACTTCAGATATCTCATCTCCTAGTTTATTTTTTTCTTGGATACTTCCAGCCAGTTCCCATCTTACTCATGCATGTGTTGTTGCTTCAGACAACATTGTTTTTAATCCATACTTCGAAAGATTTGTTTGCCTATTCTTGGCCCATATGTCTCCCATTGGTCTGCCTTGTTTGATCTTGCTTTACCTCTTCTACCCACATGCAACCCACTTTATCAGCTCCTCAAACAGCTCGGCCTTAAGCTTCCTAGGTATGTGGATGCTCTCCTCTGCTCTTGCCTGTCTCAGTTGCTGCCACCTTTTGGCTGAGGCAACTTGGATTCTGGCAGAAGAATGGCTGAAGCTAGATGATGGCCTTGCCTATACATTCTAGGAAGAAAGTATGTCAGAATAGGGGCTATGGGTGAGGGGAATCCATTGAAACTACAGGTGGGTTGGTGGGTTTTGTAGGGAAATATTTATCTTCATTTAAAAGCAAGTTACATTCTGGTTGTCTCCTACTACTAGGTAGAGGAGGGACTAATTATAAATATTAAACATTTTAGATATTAGTATTTAAAAATGATATATTGTGGATGGTAACTGACCTCTGGTATTACCTAATGCCAGTCGACTCTGGCAAAGGTGAAAGGTCATGTATATAGCAGCCTTTAAAAATTTTTTTTATTCAATTAACTAATAAAATGTTTATTGTGACTTACTGTGGGTGAAACCCTGTGCCAAATGCCTGACTGTTTAGGGAAATAAGTAGGCTGCTAAACCCTACTTATTTCTTCACCTAAACATTAGATGAAGAACTAATGGTGTCAGATAAGCAGACTGAAGACTGCAATAGAATTAATAATTACAAAAGTATGGCCTGTAGCAAACCGTATCCAATTTTAATGGACTTAAAACTACAATGATAATTGGTATTTGAACTCATAATTCCAGTTTACTTTTCATGACTTCAAAAATAGTAACATGTTATCAGAGAAATTGGTATTTGGATTTTTTTGTGTGTGTGTATTATGATACTTTGCAGAAATGCTGCTAACACACCAATGAGATGGTTTTTCTGGAGATAAATGATCTCTGCCAGTTGTTAGGTCAACTGTCACATTTTTAACTCCTCCCCAAGATGCCTTCTGGCAGTTATTGGAGCCTTGCTGGCCCTCCTAAATGTTGGATCAGACTCTGTGGTCATGTTTTCTAGCGAAGGCAGAATCTCTGGGTCTTGGTTAGACTCCCTTGGGTTGTGAGAACAGAGATCGAATTAGGTGGCCTTCAGTAACAGTGGTATATAGATTTTCAACCTTCCCATTATTGATATTTTGGGTTGGTTACTTCTTTATTTTGGGGGGCTGGTCTGTGCGTCATAGGATGCTTAGCAGCATCCTTTGTTTCTATCCACTAGATGCCAGTTGCACTCCTTGGCTTCCATAACCAAGACTGCTTCCATATCTTGCCAAATGTCCCAGAGGAAGCAAAAATCATTCCCAGTTGAGAATCATTCTTTACTTATTCCCAGTGAATAAAAAAGGCAAGAATATATACTCTGCAGCTAGTTCTCTTAGAAGAACAGGAAATGAAGGGTAGTCAGAACAGTCAGGATATATGATCATCTTCTCACCGGGAGGCATCCATTATAGTGCCTGCTGGGGCCTAAGAATTTTATTTCTATTTCTATTGTTTTATCAAAGCTGTTCTTTCCTCTACATTATAGCTGCTTCTGTTGCCTTATGCTCAAGGTGTACCTCAAGGTTGAACTCTTTCTTTGTGTTTGATGATAGTATTGTTATTATTATTAAATGATTCCATGCATATAACAAAAATGCAAAAATTTGAATTAAAAGTGGTACACAATATCCCATCTCTCTTCAGAGGTGTCTATTGCTGTAGTTTGTTGCATATTTTCCTAACACAAATTGATTTGCATCATTCTTTTTGAAGGCTATACACTATTATATGATTGTACCACAGTTTAATAGGATGACAGACAACTTTTGAAAGTGCAGATACTATTTCCTGTTTCTAATTTTTCTGTTTCCTGAGGAAAATTACTTTGATTCCTACTTCTATTCCACCAGCCTCAAGCTGTATATGTGGGAGCCCAGTCAATTCTTCTTGACTAAGATATTACTGATGTGGTATGCTGCTGATAAATGCTTAATCACTCTCAAACAGACAAAAAAACAAAAAACAAAACAAAACAAAAACCAACAAACAACAACCCAACTCTGATTTGTAGCATTTGCAAGTTTTTCGGGTGTAAATATCCTACCAGGATTGATTTCAAGTTAACACAGTAATGTTAGGAAGTGATATTTGAGTGTTTATTAGCTTTGCTTTTAGAGTAATTTTTAAATAGTAAGTTTATAAAATTTGTTTTAATAATCACTGTGTTTAACAATGGGCTTGCAAAATCCTGAAAGCTGAACCATCAGCTCTCTCGAGTCAGCATTCAGCTTCTCACAACCACTGGCACTGATAATCCCTTTTTTAGATTGTGTGAATTGCATTATTCGTCATAATGTTGTCTCCAAGGGACAACGCTGCCTTGGCTAGTATTTTAGAATCTCAGTGTTGGAGAGAGTGTGTTTGAAAGTTATCTAGACATACATTACATTTGATACTTGAATTCCCTTGGTGACATTCTGGCTATAATAGTTGGTGACATAAGTCATTGAATTTATGATTATCATTTGAAATAGAGCTTTCAATTTTGGACAATTTGTTAGAAAACTTCACCTTTTTGTTAGGTTGAAATTCTTCTCTTTATATAGCATGGATCATTTGATTCTGTATACCATTCTTGCTCTACATCATAAAAAACAAGTTGAGTACCTCTGTACTATGATAACTCTTCAAGTATTTAAAATGACCTATTATATTTCCTATCGATGGCTTTATTTTTAGAATAAATTCCCTTAATTCATTCAGAGGTTCAAGCTCATCTATTTCTTTCTTAAATTTGTGCAACTGATTCTCAATGAAGCTCCAGATGTGGCCTGACAGGTGTATGCAAGAATGGGAGAGAAAAAAAACTTCCCTAGTTCTAGAAACTATACTGCTAACTAAGCAGACTAAAATTATAATAACTTTCTTGCTGGTCTCGTAATTCTATTGGCTGATACTGAATTTAGCACTGATGAAAATCCTGAAGTTTTTTTTTTTATACATGCTGTTAAGTCCTGTCTTCCTCACTCTTTATTGTATAGGTTTTTTTTTTTTTTCCTGGGTGGGGCATGGGGGGACAAATTCAAGACTACCTATATATTTTTATTAAATACTTACCTGTGTTTATAAAACCTAAATCCGGCCTTGTCAGAATTTGTTGGAATAATTATTCTTTCAATAAATTTCCAGCTTCCTTTGCCTTCATGTGACTTGGAAATTTGATGAAAACTGACTAATGGTGTTTTCTTCTGATTCTGTAATAAAATGCCTAAGCGTGAGAAAGTTCAGCACAGAGCCCCATGGCTTTCTGGTAGTTTTTCTCTTTTAGTTGCCAATAATCTATTTATGAGCACCTTTGGAATTGCATTTTTACAGTGATCCATTTACTTAATTGTCTTCCGTGCATTGCAGTGCTTTCAACTGTGTTCCTCAGAGCACCATTGCCTTTTCTTTTCTTTTCTTGTTTTTGACGGAGTCTCACTCTGTCATCCAGGCCAGGCTAGAGTACACTGGTGCGATCTTGGCTCACTGCAACCTCTACCTTCTAGGTTCAAGTAATTCTCCTGCCTCAGCCTCCTGAGTAGCTGGGATTACAGGCACATGTCACCATGACTGGCTAATTTTTGTATTTTTAGTAGAGACAGGGTTTTGCCATGTTGGCCAGGCTGGTCTCAAACACCTGACCTCAGGTGATCTGCCTGCCTCGGCCTCCCAAAGTGCTGGGATTATAGGCGTGAGCCACTGCACCTGGTCCCATTTCCTTTTTATTGTTAACAAATGTTGTAAGGAAGAAGGTTTTCAAGATCAAATAAATCAGAGATACATTAAATTAAACACATATACGCAGATTTATTTACTGTAGGTTTTGTGCCTTGTGAATCTCCAGACTGGAGAATATAATACAGCATGTTTTCCAAACGTTTTTGGTCATAGAACACTGTTTTTTCCCACTTAGATAAAATAATATAACTAATAGTAAACTGTTCTGTGGGTTGATAGATGTTTTCCACTGGGGATATTTGGAAGGAAGTAGTTTGGAGGTTTGCAGAACTTTAGCTGAGATAGTCTAAGGTTAGTAAAGAAAGTGTTTCTCAACTTTCAGAAGTAGGGCTTGATGAGTTTCTAGAAAGCAGGAAGAAATGGAAGAGAAGGGGAAGAAACGTTAGTATAAATGAAGATACTCTGGGTTGGACTAAAGTCTAAAGCCAGATGGCAAACTCAAATGTCAGACAAATAACACACTTGTGTGAAGTTTGTTAGACTAGGCTATCTTGTCAGCAGATTGGATTGTAAGACCTACCTAAAAGCATTCAAGTAATTTTTAAAAACACGTTGCTAGCTGATGGGGCTCACGCCTGTAATCCTAGCACTTTGGGATGCCTAGGTGGGAGGATCACTTAAGCCCAGGAGTTTGAGACCAGCCTGGGCAACATGGTGAGACCCTTTCTCTTAAAAAAAAAAGAAAAAGAAAAAGAAAAAAAATTAGCCTGGTATGGTGGCACATGCCGGTAGTCCCAGCTACTTGGTGGGCTGAGGCAGGAGGATTGCTTGAGCCCAGAAGTTCGAGGTTATATGAGCCATGGCCATGCCACTGCACTCCAGCCTATACAATAGAGTGAGACCCTTTTTCTTTAGTGAGGTCTAAAGCCTGAACTTTCGCATTTTGTTCAGTGACCCAACTAAGCTATAGCAGCTCTCTAACTCAAATACACAGGGATATTTTCAGTTTGGAGAAAAAAAGAAGTAACTTATATTTTATATAAATTTCTCCTTTTCAACTCAATTATCCTCTCTACTTAATGCTGCTTAGTTTTTGTGTGTGACACATTTCAGAGTATACAGCTTGTTCTTATGTTCATTAAGAACATTATAGTATTTTTCTTTCCTTAAAAATATGATCTTTATCCTTTTTTTCTTCAGTGCTTTACCATGCATAGAGCAATAGTAATAAAGTTTAGATAGTAACTAGTCATAATTAGGTACAATAAATATTTTAGTTTCATCAGAGCCTTTTATGTATAGTCTGAATCAAGTAGCCTTAACAATACATAGCTTAAGCGAGTGTTCTCAAGACTTCATATCTAGAACACAGCAAACTTAATATATCTGCGTGCATGTTGATAATTACCTATAGGTGGAATTACTGGTTCTAATTTTATGAACCCATAATGTGAACAGCTAAATGGCACATTAGCCAGGGAAAGAAAGTTCTGATCTCCAGGTATCCCCACCAGCACTGTGGTGAACTCTCAAAGGCAGGGTGATATAACCATAGTATAAATGATTAGCAAATGATATTGAAGAATATCTTTAACAGTTCTTGACTCTATAAATAGTTAAATGACAACTTCTCAGAATTCCTACCAAAATCTCAGTTCATTTTTCCACTGTGCCACAAATCAGTGATGTTTTGTTGGGTTCAGCTTTGTCTTTTTCATTATTTTTTCTCATTTTTATGCAACACCTTTTAGTTCTTTTCCACTTCTGCTACTGGCTCCATTTTTGTGCCATAGAGGGGAAAACATTGTAGTTATCTAAGATCAAAGGAGTATCTTTGTTAATAATAATCACTCTTGATGTTTTGTCCTGAAGGTTTTGCAGGAACTTTCATTTCTGTTGTTCTTACTCTTTGGGGAGCTGGATTTAAAACCCAGCCAGAAATCCATCAACATTTTACTGTGTTTTTTAGAGTAGCTGAAAAATTGCTTAGTATGAATGTCAGTGTTCATATTAAAAAAATGATTTCGTTGAGAGATGAACTAGCTTTAAAAACAAATTTGAAGCAAAAATATAATTTAACTGTGCAAATCATCATTTTTCCCATTGGGTTGGTTTTCTGCTGCCTGCAGCATGGCATAATGACATACACCCTTAGGCTCAGCTAGGAGAATTTATGATTATATTAACAATAGCACATTCGACTGTGACTTAGAAAGAGCACTCACTGTTCTTGGGGGAAAGTGATTTTAAGGAAGTAAGTTTAGTAGTATAACAAACAAAAGTGCTTATGTTGCTCTAAAATAAAGGTATAGTTTTAAAAGAAAACACCCTCTTATAGTTATCTTTGCTTTAGCATTACTCCTTATTAACTAGATGGGTATAATCTTTTAGACCAGTTTTCTTCAAAATGATTAGATTAATAACCATGGAATAAACATTTAACAACTTGGAAGTGGCTTTTTCTGTTATTGAATGCTATTGAGCTTTGTGCATATAAAATATGGTTTTGAGTAGATTATTAGTAGTTAACAACCACTGTTATCCCTTTAGTCACAACCAGCTCATATCCAGGTGCCTTCTAGAAGGGACTGTCTGATCACCTAAACATTCCTAAGGTGGTTTGACTGGTGGAGTGCTAGTAGAAGTTAAAATTTCTACTGTTTGATTAAAAAGGAGCCTAAAATGTCAAAATAACTGTTCTTTCCATCCCTCCCACTCAAAAAAAATCTTGTTTATTTGGAATTTAGATTTTTTTTTTTTTTTTTTGCCATTTTAAGGAAAATAACGGAATTGTAAAAATATAGGAGCTGATGTGGAAGTATGTTCAAGAAAACAGTTTTTGGAGAATGACTTTAAGTCAATTTATAACAACCTTTGTACTGTATGGTTACTTGATGGCATTCTGGCTAATCAAGAAAAGTTAAGCAATTCCCTGATCAGCTTTAGTTTAATTGTAATTTTATTCTTTGAAAACTATTGAATGGTAACTAATATATATATTGCTTGTAGTTAACTACACTTATTTAGAAGAGTCCTTTGCATACTGTTTTGTAAAGTGTATTCTTGTACTCTCCCAATTAATTAATTAACTTCTTTTCCTATTTAATATTAAAGTCTAACATTTTAAGATGTGCTTCCTTTGTCTATCTACATATTTATATCTGTTATATCTATAGCTACATGTGTATGTAAACACATACATTTTGTTGAACCATTCAAATGTAAGTTGTAGATATTATGACACTTTACCATTAAGTATTTCAGCCACTTTGGGAGGTCGAGGTGGGCGGATCACAAGGTCAGGAGTTCGAGACCAGCCTGGCCAACATGGTGAAACTACATCTTTACTAAAAATACAAAAAATTAGTCGGGTGTGGTGGTGCTTGCCTGTAGTACTTGGGAGGCTGAGGCAGGAGAATCACTTGAACTCAGGAGACTGAGGTTGCAGTGAGCGGAGATCTTGCCATTGCGCTCCAGCCTGGGCGACAGAGCAAGACTCTGTCTCAAAAAAAAAACAAAACAAAACAAGTATTTCAGCATGAATTATCTAAAGATATAACCACAATACTATAATCATACCTAAGAAAATAATTTCCTAATGTCATCTAATATTCAGTGTATATTCAGGTTTCCACCATGGTCTCATGAATGTCTTCATAGCTAACTTTTCTCCCCCAGACCAAGATCTATTCAAAGTTTGTGCATTGTATTTGTTAGAACGTTCTATGTTCTCAATTTATTTGTTTATGCATGGTGTTATTTCACTTGTCTGCTATTCCTTATGTTTCCCGTAAAGTTGGTAAGATTCAGGTTAAACATTTTTGGCAAGAATGTTTTATAGATGACGCTGTCTCATCTTTTGCTGCTTTAATATCTGAATAGAATTCCATTGAATGGATGTGTAATTTTTAAAATAGTCTGAGTTGATGGGTATTTGAGGTGTTTTTTGTCTCTAAACTTCTTCTGAACATATAGTAATGCACACTGGTGATCAGGAGAAAGGAAGCCTCAACATTTAATCATGTTGTCATTTTCATTGTTCAGTCCTGCGAAGTGTTTAACATTTTTAATTTTTATCTTTGTTTCTATAGCAGACCCAGATAGACCAGTCCAGGTAGTGCAGGCCAAACCTGTGGGAAAGCTCCAGGAACTCTAGTTTCCTCATAAGACAAAGTAAACCCTTTGCTAGATCTTAGACCCTGCCTCATCTTTCAGTATCCTAAGGATCATCAGATTGAGAATTCTTTATTAGAGCAGACTGTTCATGTTGCTACCCCAAATGTAGAATTTTCAGAACTGATTTGGTCTACAGAAAACAAATGTAAGATAGGAAAGTAAAGCTCCAGGATGCTGGAGAAAAAGGAAATGTAGATACATAGTAGAATAAAGGGCAAATGTTCACACGGTTGTTGTGGATATGGCTCATTAACAAAAAATAATTAATACAATTGATAAAAGCTTTTCAACACGTGTATGTGCCTATGTACACATTTATCATTTATATTAGTTTATTTAACTTTTATAAACATTTTACTTTTCAAAACTCACAGTTTATTTCTAATTATGAGGGAGGTATATTTTTTGTTTTAATTGATTGATTGAGACAGGGTCTTGCTGTGTCGCCCAAGCTGGAGTGCATTGGCACAATCAGGGCTCACTATTGCTTCAAAATCCTGGACCCAAGCGATTCTCAGCTCAGCCTCTTGAGCAGCTGGGACTGAGGTGTGCAGATTAGCCAGACCTGGCTAATCTTCTAATTTTTTGAAGAGATGGAGTCTTTATTTTGCCCAGGATGGTCTCAACCTCCCAAAGCACTGGGATTACTGGCATGAGTCACTGCACCCAGCCGGAGAGGTATATTTTTTAAAAATCCTAAAATTCCGTTCTTTCTGGCCAAACACAAAATCTGTTGCATTCCTGGGTCCTTGACTATGAAAATCTTACAGTAAGCCATATAATTAATGCAGAAATTAAAATAGAATTGTGAACCAGTTACAACAAATTGGAGGATAAACTGATTTTTTGATGTGGTTTGGGTGTCTGTGTCTTCCCCCATCCCCCCGCCCAAAACTCATATGTTAAAAATGAATCTCCAGTGTGATAGAATTAAGAGGTAGGTCTTTTGAGAGGTGACTAGTTCATGAGGACAGAGGCCAGATAAATTGGATTAGTGCCCATATAAAAAGGTCCCTAGGGAGTTGACGTGCCCCTTCCACCATGTGTGAACACAGCTACAAGGTGCCATTCAAGAGGAAGCAGGCCCTCACCAGACACTGAATCTGCTGCCACCTTGATTTTCAACTTCCCAGCCTCCAGAACTGTGAGAAATAAAAGTTAATTTTATAAGCTACCTAGTTTTTGATATTTTTGTTAGAACAGCCTAAAGGACTAAGAAGCTTTTCTTAAAAATGAATCATTTGTGAAGAGAGAGTCCTTTAAGGGAAGTGAACATTATGCCGAGTCACCAAATTCTTTATAAACAGAATTGAAACTAGAAGGTGTTACATGGGGACAATATTCTTGTTTTAACTACGTCATTAACAGGAGGCAATTTCCTGCAATTAGCCAGGCCTAAGTACTCAGTGTATTGTATTGTAAATTTTCATAAGAATACATTTCATATATATTTGATAGTATATTTAGTTTTTCAGAATACTCAAGGAGCTGGCCAACGGACCTTCAGCTCTACAAATGTAACTTTCTTAGGAAAAACATATAAAACATTTTCCAAAAAATTATAGGACTAAATTCAATACAAATTAATAATTTAAGGCATCCAGGCTTTTTCTTTGATGAAACTGCCAAATATTTCTTTTTGTAAGATACCATTTCAACATATAAGAAATATGAATGCCAGACAAAGGATATAATCACTGAACATTTATAAAGCTACATAGCTGCGTGTTCTCTGACAAGTAGATTATGTTGGATTTGAAATTATATAGATCAAATTCTATTTCTGTGCTGTAGAGAGGTGACCTGAATAGATATGCTGATTCAGCTCAAGCTCATTAAAGTAATAGCACTTCTTTTTTTTTTTTGAGATGGAGTCTCGCTCTGTTGCCCAGGCTGGAGTGCAGTGGTGTGATCTCGGCTCGCTGCAACCTCCGCCTCCTGGGTTCAAGCGATTCTTCTGCCTCAGCCTCCTGAGTAACTGGGACTACAGGTATGTGCCACCATGCCTGGCTAATTTTTTGAATTTTTAGTAGAGATGGGGTTTCACCATGTTAGCCAGGATGGTCTTGATCTCCTGACCTGGTGATCCACCTGCCTCGGCCTCCCAAAGTGCTGGGATTAGAGGCTTGAGCCACCATGTCCGGCCAATAATAGCACATTTTGTTTGCAGTTCTAGAAATGGGAAATTATATTTACATGCAAGTCATGGTGTAACATAATAATAAAATGTATTAATTGGGCCAGAAAACTCAAATATTGGACTGTAGAATCAGAAATGGATACATAGAAATCCTATATAATCTAAGTTCTCTGGAAGATTCCCAGGGTATTTACTATTAAGTGAAATTTTTCTGTGATTTATGTGTTGGTATTTTCAACAAAGACTCTTATTTGTTGTTTGAAGTGTATGAAAATACAGGTTGTCTGGGGACGTTGTTCTGATATTTTCATATAGGACAAATCTAATTTAGTTGCTAGATACTTTCAGAAGAGAAAATTTTTAAAAAATCTGTTTCAAAACTGAAGAATTCAGTTAAGATTTTTCCTCCCCCACTCTCCAGCTCCCACCCTAGCCCCACTCTTGCTTTCTGTCTTTCAACCAGGCTAATTACTTGAAGCAACTGCTTGTAATCTGTGACTTTTAACAAAAGCTCTAAATTAGTATGAATATATGGATAATAATGGACTTTATACACAAGTTTCTCTCTGTTTGGTTAAATACCTGGTCATTGAGGAAACAGAGTTCCTAAATTCTATTGAAGTTTTTAATCATCCCTTTTAGAAGCATGGAGAGAGGGATACAAGGAGAAGGCTAAGGGGGAATAATTAATGCAATATTAATAACAATATTGTTCCTGGAGCAAAGTAAATAGTAGTTCTATTACATGATGCACAATTTGAATCATGCATGCAGTATTTTGTTTTGTTTAGAAAGAAGTGGTTACAAACTAGAGCAGTTCCAGGCGGGAGCAATGAATATGAAAGCATCTAAAATTTATCTTGTAGGAATAACAGCAGAAGAGAATGGAAACATTTAGCTTGCAAAGGACAAGAGCTAGAAGTGGTTGGTGGTAGTGATGTTAAGGAAAGCGTGGTGGTTGTCTTCCAGTGTGTGGTGGGCTATTTCTACTACAGGGCAGAACTTGGGTCCCGGAGTGGAAATGAACAGGGAGCACATTTCTGTTGAAAATAAGAGAATTTTTTCCCATCTAACAAGGTTGTTTAAAAATGGCTTTCTTTTCATGTGGTGGGCTCGCCATCATTGAGAGAATTCAAGAATTGCAGTACAGAGCAATTCCTGCCTAGACCACACTGACTAACTGAAACTGATTACCCTGAAACTACTCTATGACTGACACCAGCCGCTAAAACCCTGAATGTTTCCTTCCCTAACCTCTTCTACCCTGTTGGAGATCCTGCTAAGGCTTCTTCAAGGTGGTGCTCTCTTCTGCTCAGTAAGTTGAATAAAACCCAGTTTTGTAAGATTTCCCCCCAAAGAATTATACTATAAATAGTTATTAAGCACCTACTATGGCAAGTACTGTGTTAGATGTGTAAAAAATAAGACAATTTTTTTTTTTTTTTTTTGAGACAGAGTCTTGCTCTGTCTCCCAGGCTGGAGTGCAGTGGCGCGATCTCGGCTCACTGCAACCTCCGCCTCCTGGGTTCAAGTGATTCTCCTGCCTCAGCCTCCTGAGTAGCTGGGATTACAGGCACCCATCACCATGCCCGGCTAATTTTTTGTAGTTTTAGTAGAGATGAGGTTTCACCATGTTAGCCAGGATGGTCTTGATCTCCTGACCTCAGGTGATCCACCCGCCTCAGCCTCCCAAAGTGCTGGGATTATAGGCATAAGCCACTGCGCCTGGCCAAGAAATAAGACAATCTTTATCCTTGAGGGTTTATCATCCAGTAAGAACATGTAATGATAATTAAATGTTATCAGTTCTATGACAGCAGTATATATGGAGGAGAAGAGTGAGCAGGGAAGTCTACAGAAAAGGTTGTCTTTGAGTTCAACACTGAATAATGGGTAGGTGTTTGCCCAGTGGATTGAGAAGCAAGGGTGGTGGAGGGAGGTTGTGAGGAAGGAAAATGCTCACATGACTTTCTCTGAAAATGCTGTAGAAGGCCTCTTGCCATTTTGGCATCAGGGTGGTAGCTAGACAAACCCTAGGGACTGTGACAATTCAACAACCTTACCAAGTGATTGCCTTCTAAAAAAAACTTTACAGAGAGAAGCCTAATGTTGCACTCCAGTTTTAAGTTTGCCTGGGGTCAAATAGGAATAGTCGTTTCTATGAATATTTCTTGGAGAAAGAGTGAAGGAGACAGGATCATTACAACTCTTTGAGAGAATGCTTGTTGGCATTAAAGAGCACTTGTTTCCAAGTGAAGACAGAAGCCCTCAGCCATCCTCATTTCTTTTCCCTCAGGCGCCTTTGCATATTCTGTAGTTGACTACATTCACTGTTCTCTATTCTGTATGGCAAGTGGGTCACACATCTCTGTGTCACTTTATGCTGGGACACACTAATCTTTTTGTTAGGACATGATTGGGCACCTTAGCCTAAACCCTATGAAACCTCTGGGGAAAAATAGCTAGAGATGAACTTTTTATGTCACATAGCCGTCAGTTCAAAGCCTGTTTAGTGTCAGGGTTGAAGGAAACTATAATGGCTCGTGAGAAGAGGCTCACAGGGGGTCCTTTTTCAGGGCAAAAGGACAGATGGTTTTCTCTACTTGAGATCATACACAATACACAATAGACCCAGCACTTGCTTCCCAGCCATGCTACATGCACGCCTTCTTCATGAGGGGAACATACAATTTTGTAGACCCAGCGGGGGGACATTTACTCATTGCTGCTGTTCTTTTCAGCTGTTTTGTTGGTAGGCTTAGAGTGCCCTTTTGTAGAGTGACAAAAAGGGGTTTTAATAAAACATTGGCTTCACAAAGAGGGCCATTGTGTATACATGTACCTTCTGTGTAAAAACTAATTTTGTATTTTAAATACAATGAAAGGGAAGTTCAATAACCAAAAACTCTGGGTCTCAATTATTTGCAGTAATATATGATCAATGGTTTTACTGTGCCGACACACACTGAAAATTTTCATAGAGAGAGTTAATTATTCGTGTGTTATATAAGAAGATTCACAGTGTAATATTCCTAGACAATTTGTATTATAGACATATGTTTCGTACCAGGCTATTAAATATCCATTGTGCCAGTTTAACTTGCTGAATTTTGTAATTTTTTAGTTATATATAAAATGTCATTTTCCAATTAATATTTTCAGGGGTCTTAAGTACTTAGTTTAATTTTAAAAAGAAAAAGATAGCTGTGCATATTTCTATGAATTCTTAAATTATTTGTTTTAACAAAAAGTAATTGGCAAGATAATTTTTAGCATTTTAAAGTGTTTATCTCTTTTCTTTGGGATATTTTGGCATATGTTCCAGATATTCAACAATGTTAATATAAAATATTAGATGGAAGACTCTTTATTAGCTATTCATTATATGGAAATAAATAATCTTTCCATAGTTGTTAACTAATCTGAGGAAATCATTTCTCTTTCTGTAAACCAGTCTAAAGCTAAAAAGAATAGCTGCTGATTTATTAGAATCTTATAAAATGATATGTTTTTCTTTTCATCTGTTTTTGTTATGTCCATCCTTATGGCTTAGAAATTTGTGATGAAAGTAATTTGTACACAGAAAATTAGGGTATGTTTAATTAGAGAATTGGAAGAATAGACTTTGAACTTTTGATTATCATTTTTTTAATTGAAAATGTAAATAGAACATTTGATTGAAAGGAAAATAAAAGATACTTTGAAAAATTCAAAATGATGCAATGTATATACAAAGGAATATGACACCATCCAAGATTGATTTTCAAGTGAGTGATACCAACAGTGTGTGCTCTGAATTCTGAGGAAAGAGGATTAATAGTTCCGTTTTTTGCCACCTATACCCATTACATGAGGGAATTGGATTAAATGATTTCCAACAAGTATTCCTGCTTTAAAATTTGGCTATGAAAGGGCAGTAACAACTTGGTGTATTTAAAAGATTCCTTAATTTGTTTTCATTTTTTTTACAGTTTATAATTGATCTCATATTAATTGTCTTATTTAATTCCAAGCAATAACTTGGACAGTAGGTCTGACAGGCATTACTATCGCAATTTGCATATAAGAAAACTGAGGCTCAGGGGTAAGGCTCTTTGCCCAAGGTGGAGGTGTTAGTGTCTTATTTTTCTAATTATAAGGATGGTTTTTCTGCTGATGCACAGAGTGATTATTAGCCTTAAAATAGGATTGCTGTTGAACTGAGAAAGGTGGTCTTTAGTACTTTTGATAATATTGGAAACCACTGGGTCAAATATAATTGCTTTCAACCAACTAATTATATCTATTCAGAAGTAATAATCATATGAGAACATATTGTTTTGACAAGTTGGCATTTTATCGTTTTCTAATAAACAAGAAATATAAAGGTTATATTACTTTTCTGTGTATTAACGATTATTGAACAACCTAATTTACTGATGTAGTTCAGTGCCAGTTTGCTCCTTCTATAGGACTGTATAAGACTCTGCATGGCACTTAGCAATTTCAGGTACATTAAAATGTTCAATTATTAGCATCTAGTTTAATAAACAATTGGGGATATATTTTTTACACGATTAATTTTAAATAAAAAATCTCATTACTTTTTATTGGAAGATTTCTACTTAGTAATGAGGACAATTACTATAATCTTTGCTTTTTTAATCAATTGAGAATCTGGTAAGAATGAAGTATCTTAGTGAGCCTATGGCTATAGTGGATTACAAAGAAAGTAACACTATTTGTGGCATCGGACCTCTTTTCATCCCTTTTGTCTTTAGTTCATATACCCTCCTTCCCCTTTCCCATCCTCCCTTCCCCAGTTGATTTTTCATGGGGCATATATTGGGGTATTTCTAAAATGCAAATGTTATATAATGCTTAAATACCTCCATTCCTTCACCATTGCTTTTTGGATGAAGCCAAATTGACCCTAACTTTCCTTTTCTGTCTCACTTGACACCGTACTTAATACCCAGCCATGGAGGCCTTCACTCCCTCAGACCTGCTGTATTCCTGTTGTGTGACTTTGTCTCCCCTGCCTGGAATGTTCAGCACTCTCATTCTCTGCCTGGTAAATGCCTACCCATACTTCATGACATGCTCAAATGTCAGTTCAGATGATAACGCTCCCTGCAAATCTTCCAAGCATGGTTGGAAGCTCTATTAGGCCTTGATCCATTGCTCTTTATAGTAATACCACTTTGCATCTCAATTATTTAATTTCTGGGCCTCTCTAACTCCCACAGTGCCTTGTCCATAGTACATACTTAACTTCCATTTGATGGAAAAACTCTGCTTTCAAAGAACTTTATGAACAGTTGGGAAATGAATACAAACACCAGTGAACACATATTACAAAGGAGATTATTTGGCTAATCTTAGCTAATACTCTCATAATTCCCTCTGTTCTATACCCATTACATGAGGGAATTGGATTAAATGATTTCCAGCATGTATTCCTGCTTTAAAATTTGGCTCTGAAAGGGCAGTAACAAGTTGGTATATTTAGATAATGGCATGTAGCAAGTGGCAGTTCATTTACACAGTGTGGCACACATCAATGAACAATTTCATTCTCCTCTATGATTTTGTTGTAATATAACTGAAAAGAGATATAACTTTGATTTTTATTTTATTTATTTTTGAGACAGGGTCTCACTGTGTTGCCCAGGCTAGAGTGCTGTGGTGATCATGGCTCATCGCAGCCTTGACCTCTCGGGCTCAGGTGACTCTTCCACCTCAGCCTCCTGAGTAGCAGGAACTACAGGTACACACCACCATGACTGGTTAATTTTTGTATTTTTTGTAGAGATGGGGTTTCATGTTGCCCAGGCTGGTCTCGAACTCCTAGGCTCAAGTGATCCACCTGCCTCAGCCTCCCAAAGTGCTAGGATTACAGGCATGAGCCACCATGCCCACCCTTGATTTTTAACTTTAAAAAAATTTACAAAAATGCACTTTATAACAAGTTGAATGAGAATTTACTGAAAATACCACTTACAATAAAAACATTGTTAGAATTCTGAGAGGAATTTTTTCCTGCAAATTCTTTGAAAAAGTTTAGTGTGATACTATAAAATTATACACTTTTTTCCTCAGGTTCTTAACCCCCATCTTAAAATTTGAAGTAAGAAGGAAATCATTGGTATGAAAAATCACTGTGGTGTTCAGGGTTGAAGTTTTTGATGTAAAGAACTCCCTGGAAAGATGCTGGGCAAATTTCTCTTCTGCATAGTTCATAGCAGGTGACTGACACTCAATAACATTTAATATAATGAATTACAGAGGCTTTGAAAATTTAGGCCTCCAAAGAGCAAATCCAAGATGGTAGATAGGATTTTCACATTACTGTGAAGACAGGGTGGATGTTGACATAGTTGGTCTTCTGGGAGTGCTTCATCACCTAAGTGAAAGAACCATATTCACCTAATTTATTTTACCAAGGGAAAGACTATTTATTCTCTTTATTAGCTGCTTATTTAAGGTCAAAGAGAAAAGAAGGCCAAAGGAAATATGTAATATAGTTTTCAGCTAGGTGAAGTAGAATTTAGTACACTATAAAATTGGGCATTTTCTCTTCCAGCTTCCTTTAACCAAGAACCTTATTTTATTGACCTTCATTAAATTTACATTTTAGTTTTGCTTTTCTACATTACTAGGAAATTTGCAGCTAAGTATTTTTGTGTAACAATAATAATAAAAAAGAAAAATAGCATTATATTCAAAACTGATGCAAAAAGAATCTTGATTATTTTCCATTGAGGCAGCAGTGGTGTAGCCAGTGGAAGGGGCTCAGGCTTTGGAACCAGACAGACCTGGCCCTAATTCTGGCTCAGCTATTTACCCACTCTCTGGGCTTGGCAAATTACTAAAATCCTTCCAGTCTCAGTTTCCTGATCCATAAAACTGAAAGGCTAATATCTGTTAAGAATTAGAAATAATGCATAGTAGGCATTCTAGCACAATGCTGGCCCATAGGAGGGGATTCAATAAGTGAGTTATAGTAATTATGCTGGCAAGATATTAGATAATTATGATCTTTAGATTCTAATTTTTATTGAAGTAATTATATGCCATAGGTTTTCCAGGTGCCTAACACAGGACCTGACACATAGTATAGTCTCAAAAAATATTTACTGAGTAAATAAATGGGTTTAGTTCTGTGCAAAAGGGGCTTGGTTCCATATACTGTTAGTGTCACGTGGTAAAATATGAGATCAGAGTAACTGAGGAACTCAAGAGTGGAGAAGTAACCAAGTGTGCCAAAATCCTTGAGATGTCGTGAAGCAGTGCTAGACTGTATTCTCCAGGAGCAGGCTCTAGGAGAAGGACCTGCCCTTTAAGAATTTGCATCTTTCACATCCCTTGTAAGTTGGATTCCTAGGTATTTTATTCTCTTTGAAGCAGTTGTGAATGGGAGTTCACTCATGATTTGGCTCTCTGTTTGTCTGCTGTTGGTGTATAGGAATGCTTGTGATTTTTGCACATTGATTTTGTATCCTGAGATTTTGCTGAAGTTGCTTATCAGCTTAAGGAGATTTTGGGCTGAGACAATGGGTTTTTCTAGATATACAGTCATGTCATCTGCAAACAGGGACAATTTGACTTCCTCTTTTCCTAATTGAATACCCTT
Source organism: Homo sapiens (assembly GCF_000001405.40). Classification (NCBI taxonomy): domain Eukaryota; kingdom Metazoa; phylum Chordata; class Mammalia; order Primates; family Hominidae; genus Homo; species Homo sapiens. The sequence continues at coordinate 109,270,244 of NC_000004.12, read as the reverse complement.
TATTTCCTTCTCCTGCCTAATTGCCCTGGCCAGAACTTCCAACACTATGTTGAATAGGAGTGGTGAGAGAGGGCATCCCTGTCTTGTGCCAGTTTTTAAAGGGAATGCTTCCAGTTTTTGCCCATTCAGTATGATATTGGCTGTGGGTTTGTCATAGATAGCTCTTATTATTTTGAAATATGTCCCATCAATACCTAATTTATTGAGAGTTTTTAGCATGAAAGGTTGTTGAATTTTGTCAAAGGCCTTTTCTGCATCTATTGAGATAATCATGTGGTTTTTGTCTTTGGCTCTGTTTATATGCTGGATTACATTTATTGATTTGTGTGTATTGAACCAGCCTTGCATCCCAGGGATGAAGCCCACTTGATCATGGTGGATAAGCTTTTTGACGTGCTGCTGGATTCGGTTTGCCAGTATTTTATTGAGGAATTTTGCATCAATGTTCATCAAGGATATTGGTCTAAAATTCTCTTTTTTGGTTGTGTCTCTGCCCGGCTTTGGTATCAGAAAGAAGACATTTATGCAGCCAAAAAACACATGAAAAAATGTTCACCGTCACTGGCCATCAGAGAAATGCAAATCAAAACCACAATGAGATACCATCTCACACCAGTTAGAATGGCAATCATTAAAAAGTCAGGAAACAACAGGTGCTGGAGAGGATGTGGAGAAATAGGAACACTTTTACACTGTTGGTAGGACTGTAAACTAGTTCAACCATTGTGGAAGTCAGTGTGGCGATTCCTCAGGGATCTAGAACTAGAAATACCATTTGACCCAGCCATCCCATTACTGGGTATATACCCAAAGGACTATAAATCATGCTGCTATAAAGACACATGCACACGTATGTTTATTGCGGCATTATTCACAATAGCAAAGACTTGGAACCAACCCAAATGTCCAACAATGATAGACTGGATTAAGAAAATGTGGCATATATACACCATGGAATACTATGCAGCCATAAAAAATAATGCGTTCATGTCCTTTGTAGGGACATGGATGAAATTGGAAACCATCATTCTCAGTGAACTATCGCAAGAACAAAAAACCAAACACCGCATATTCTCACTCATAGGTGGGAATTGAACAATGAGATCACATAGACACAGGAAGGGGAACATCACACTCTGGGGACTGTTGTGGGGTGGGGGGAGGGGGGAGGGATAGCATTGGGAGATATACCTAATGCTAGATGACGAGTTAGTGGGTGCAGCACACCAGCATGGCACATGCATACGTATGTAACTAACCTGCACAATGTGCACATGTACCCTAAAACTTAAAGTATAAAAAAAAAAAGAAAAAGAATTTGCATCTTTATAGGGATGGGTGGAAGGATGGTAACAGTGAGGTAACCATGACGGAGGGAGCTACCGGAAGCCTCCTGGTTGAGAAAGTGATCTCCTTAGAATGAGGGAGCCTTTGGTCTCACTAGCTAGGCAGCTTGTTCTTCTGTTGAGCCAGCTCACACCGTTGGGGCTAGCTTTGCTGTGCCTCAAGGCATCTCGATTTGTTTCCTTTGAGCAGTGGAAGAAATCTTCTTTAGAAATTACTTCTGGTTTATACATATTAGGTTATCGTGATTGACATGTAATCTTTTTCATAAATGATAGTTTTAAATTTGCACGTGTCTTTGGCTCTATATATTTAATTTTAGAATATTTTGTTGTTTTTAAAAGGTTTACACAGGTTCATTGTACAGGAACAGAAAGGTAAAAGAGGTCCTACCCACCCCTAAGCCAAACTGCTCATCTACCCAGAAGAAATCACAGTAACTGATAACTTGTGTGTTTCTCTAGAGGTTGTCCTATGCATGCAAGTAGCTGTGTTCCATATCCTTTATAAACTTGGGCAGTGGTCGTCATTTTCTCACCTCACAACAACAGGAATTTACAGCATCAAATGGATACAAGAATCATGAAAAAATAGACATAAATGCTTATCTAATTTTAATAGTCTCCTGAAAAGAAAGCAAAACAAAGAAAAAGGAAAATGTTCAGATTATTGCAGACATTCTTCAGTCGCCCAAATTTCTTAATGCCTATGCTATTACCTGTGACAAAAGTAATTGTGCTTTGATAAAACAATGTGCTCTTTATAATATATTGCAGATATTCACACCTCATTTTAACATGTTCAAATGTGAGTTTTCAATCAGTAAAATGACTTACTTGCAGTGCAGATTTTATGGTTAATTTAGCTTGACATTTTAAAGTTTTAGATTTCTCTCCAAATTATTTCTCCTACAATGCAAATTTTTTTTTGTAATAATGAAGCGATCTTGACTGATGTATGTCATGACTAAGGAAAGACAATATAGACTAGATCCAAACGTCAGATGAAGTCAGATTTGATTAAAGCTCTTTTAGACTGTTTTATGTAGGTCAAGTATCTCTTATCTGAGATGCTTGGGACCTGAAGTATTTCAGATTTTAGATTTTTTTTTAAGTTAGAAATATTTGCATTATATACTTACAGTTGAGATTCCCTAATCTGGAAAATCCAAAATCTGAAATGCTCCAGAGTGTTTCTTTTGGACATCATGTTGGTACTCAAAAAGTTGTGGATTTTGGAGCTCTTCAGATTTCAGATTTTTGGATTAGGGATGATTCAACATGTACGATGTTATCCATAAAGGAGATATACTATACTAACTAAAGAAGAAACTGAAGAGTTAAAGTATATTATTTGATTATAACACTAAAAACTTACAATGGAAATGCATTTAGTTTGATGGGAGACATTGAAGATTTTCTTTTAATTGGGTTATTTTCTAGTTTCTTTGGTTTGTTTTTCTTTTTTAGATTTCTGGATCTTTAGAAATACAATTGAATAGGAGAGAACATTTAATGTTTTGGATTGAAAATGTTTTTTGTGTACCATGACTTTAGAAAGCTTTTATTCAAATAACAGGTAAATACAGGATTTAACCTGATTTATTGGGCTTTCTAAATTTTGCCAGTTATGGGAATGAGAATTTGCAGTATTATTTGTCACTAGTGCTCAATGAATGAGAGTTTCTGATACCATATTTATATCATTTTTCATAAACCCACAGAAAACTCAGTGGACTTTTCCTATCTGGTTTTAAGAGAGCTATAGGTTAGCATTTGGGTTCATTAGCCTCTCTACCAGAGAAAGGGCTGCATGCTGACATGACTTGGTTGCAGTTTCTATTGCTTAAAAAAATGCACACCAGTAAAATTTGTTACATTCTTTCTGTTTTCTTTGGTTGATTTTCTGAGTGCTTATTCTCTTAATGTTGCCTGTTTTAAATTGCCATTTAGCAGGCAGATTTAGGATGATCTCAGATTCAAGTGATGCAGTTTAATCTGATTAAGACATAAAGCAGAATAACTTGGAGTGCAATAGCAAAGGCTCCCAGAGGAGTCCCAAAAAAGCTAACAGCACAAAAGTCATGGGTTCAGTTTATAACTATAATTGCTACTTGGTTTTTGCTTGAAGAAAATATGTAATTCAAATGTACAGAAAAAAGATTTGTATCCACGTTTTCATGTCACTTTCTATGGTTGAGAGTAATCTTTATCTTCTCTTCCTACAATGAATACTTTTTTTTTTTTTGGTCGTAGTAATGGATGTAAACATTACAAACTGAGGTCATGCCGACTGGTCAGGAGGCAACCATTTATTTATGAAAGCCTGTCCTAGATTATTAGTACATCCTCCCCAGCCCCCCATATCTTTATAGGTTTAGTGCCAACAACATAAACAATCCACAAAGTATATTTTAGGGTCAATGGAGCCTTTAGAACATTCTGTTACACTGCTTAAGGCATGAGATTGATATTGGCATTCCTTCTTCAAATCGCTCCATTGTCATGTGAAGATTTCTGAAGGTCATTCATCTTCACCTCATCGTTTCCAGAGAATAATTGTAGCTTGTCCACTTCCTCAGCTGTTCATCCATAGCCTGCCAAGCAAATTATAAAAATAATAGCTGACATTCATTATTCTGACTACCAAGCACTGTTTTAACATCTTTTTCATGTATTATCTTAGTTAATTTTTACAACAACCTGTTATCCCGATTTAATAGACAGGATAAATGAGCCCTAAAGAAGTTAAAAAACTTTTCATGTGTCATGTAACTTTTAAGTAGCAGAAGTTAGCTATGTCTTATTCAAGTTCAAGCTTTTAACTCTTTAACGGTTACACCTGTTAGTCCTCAAGAGTCGACCTGTTTTAAAAAAAACTTTAACACAGGAAATGTTTGGAGGTAGTATTGGTAGCAGGAAGAAAAGTACCTGAGAAAAGAGAAGGGCTATGGAAAAGCTCTAGGTTAATCTGAGAGGAATCCAAAGAAAGGGCTGCATGCTGTCATGACTTGGTAGTAGTTTCTACTGCTTAAAAAATGTACACCAGTAAAATTTGTTACATTCTTTCCATTTTGTTAGGTTGCTTTTCTGAGTGCTTATCCTCTTAATGTTGCCTGTTTTAAATTACCATTTAGCAGGCAGATAATGAGAGAAAGCAGATTAACGATTTGAAAGTAACATTTAGGAAGGTCTGGTGGTGTGCAGCACAGGACCGCAACAATGGCTGTTCAGGAGAGTCCTGACATCACTGGGATTCTCAAGTTATGGTATCTTGAATTCTTTATATAGTTCAAATGACATAGAAACACAAACACTTCCTGCTCCTGTTTAACACACACACACACACACACACACACACACACACACACACACACACACACGTACTGTTATTACTGTAAGAAAACACATGCAAGAATAGATATTTATTGCCTCAATTATAACTTTAGTTTAATGGAAAAAGTATAAGGAAAATGTTACTGTTAATTGAAAAGAGATACTAAAGAGAAAGCATAGTTGATTTGTTTGGAGGAAGTAATGCTGTTTAAATTGTCCTTTGGCCTTCAGTGTGGAGTATTTGTTGACTATGTGATCATTAATTCAAAGCTGTAGCTCATGCTGAATACTGTGCAGTGTTTCAGCTCCCGAATGTTAACAGATAGGTTAATAGAATAGGAGAGTTAAAACAGATATAGCTCACGGTTTGCCCTGAAAACTTGAGGATTTTCTAATTAAATACTGGATGATCAGTGAACTTTGCTCAGCTTACTAAATCATGAATTTTTCCATCTTAGTGACATGGCTAAAATTGGAAATGTCAAATATGTCTGAACAAGATCATGATTCATGAACTTGGACCTGAACTTACTTTCCATTTTCTTTATACAAAAAAAGGCATTATAAATAGATTAACTAGAAATTATGCTAAAAGAAATTAACCTTTCTTTTAGCAAGGCTGTGTTTCTAAGTTGGAAAACATTTCCTTCCTTCAAGAAAGGTGATGTTGATCTTTATAAAATATAATGAAAGTAATTAATTATTTAACATTAGAGTCAAAACCACATGGTCCTTATTGGTGGGAATGAGTGGGATTGCTGAAGATACTTGTAAACCAGGGAGTGCCAATGATATCACATGTTGCTGGATTTCCTTTTAAATTACCTTGGGGGAATTTGATCAGTGGGCCTGATCTGTAGTTGGGCATCTCCAATTAAAAATGGCTCAGACTGAATCTATCATTCCCCATTCCCCACTGAATCTGCTCTTCGCCCAGGCTTTTCTCAGTGAATGATGCTCATCGTTCACACCAGACACTTGAGAACTATTCTTGACTTCCCTGGCACCACCCATAATTTTTCATTCACCATGTCCTGTCTGTTTTCCTCCCGATTTTCTCAAGTTTGTCCATTTTGCTCTGTTCCTTCTGTGACTCCTTTAGTTCTGCCAACCAGTATTGTTCCTTGCCTGATGGTAACAGCTACCAATGAGTTTCCCCCACTCCATTATTGCTCTTCTCCAGTATGTTCTCCACGCCATACCCAGAGTGTTCTTTCTAAAGTGAAATCCGTGCAATCCCTGATAAAACCCAACCATGCCAGCATGGCTAACAGGCTGAGGTTTTCATTATCGTGCTTAGCTGAGTCTCTCACCCTTCCCTCTCCTGGTCGCACTATTTTCTGTTGTTTTCTTTTTTCAACTTTTTGGCCTTCACCCAAGATGTTATTGGAGAGCCTTCACCCTCTTCAGCCTTTAATTCTAAGCTTAAGCTTCTCTTCTTTTTTGAAGCTTAAGTTCTCTTGCTTATATGCTTTCACAGAAATCCGAATTTCATAGAATTTTGTTTGTTTTTAAAAATAATTTGTACTTAAAATCCTTTTTTGTTACTTCTTGTTATACAGTTTGTCTGTTCCATTAGGCTCTAAGTGACATGAATGAAGCGACTGTCTTGCTCACCATCGTATGCCAAGAGCTTCTCATGGTTTCTCATGTGCCTGGTCTATAGAGGACATTTAGCAAGTGTTAATGAATGAATGTTGAGGAGGTGTGCCGTTTTGTTTTTCCTTCTTGGTTGAGCACAGTATCTTTTATGTCATTTTGCTGAATGCCTTCTCAAGGCAGTAGGAGAGAAGAGTATTTAGTAAAAGTAAGTAGTAGAGAGCAGAGGGCCCAGTGCTCAGTGACAGAAAGCAAGGCAGCAATACGGTATGAAATTCCCGAGGCAGAGAGGGCTTTGTTTTAAACAACGTTCAGTTTATTGTTCTGTCCTTCAATTTCCTAGCAATTTCCAAGCGAACAGAGCTATAGTTTTCCACGGCAATTGATTGTAGAAACCAATAAACTTTAGGGAATTCTTTCTAATATTTAACTTACATTTCTCTGCTTTAATATAAACTCATTTCTGATTTTTCCTTGGTGAAATCAAGAGCTCATTACACTTATATCATTACCAAGTTTTCCTTGTTTCCCTCCACTATCCAATTTCTCCCCTTTCATATAACTCTTATTTTCTAATATTTTAATTATTTTTCTTACTAGTATTTGAAGCTTTTTGAGTATGCCACCCTTTGTCATTAACTGGGATAATAAAAATCAGTTTAGTACTGAATTCAGTGAAAGGACTACTGCTCTGTAAAGGCTCACTATTGTGTTCTTTTAAAATATATCTCTAGCAACTCCCCAACATGATATATTGTAAAAGACTTCGTAATTTACAATTTTAAAATATTGCTCTTATTTTGAAAGGTTTTGTTGTTGTTGTTGTTGTTGTTGTTTTGAGACAGAGTCTTGCTCTGTCGCCCAGGCTGGAATGCAATGGTGTGATCTTGGCTCACTGCAACCTCAGTTTCCCAGGTTCAAGTGATTCTGCTGCCTCAGCCTCCTGAGTAGTTGGAATTACAGGTGCCCACCACCATGTCCAGCTAATTTTTGTATTTTAGTAAAGATGGGGTTTCACCATGTTGGTCAGGCTGCTCTCGAGCTCCTGACCTTAGGTGATCCACCCACCTCGGCCTCCCAAAGTGCTGGGATTACAGGCATGACTCACTGCACTCGGCCTGAAAGGTTTTGATAGACAAATTGCCAGAAACTTATTTTCTCTAATAAAATACTATTGTGCTTAACTTAAAACCACTTTGTATGATTTTTGGGGATATTAATGTGTGTAACTATTTCAGTGTTTTGTCTATATTGTGACTTTTATTAAAGAAACTCTAAAGAAATAAGTATGCATTTTGCAAAGTGGATGAAATTTTGCTTCTGAAATTAATAACTTTTACCGATGAACTGAAAGGAATGGTTCTTAACATATAGTATAATGCTTACCCTAAACGTTTTTGTTAATAGGTAAACTTGGTTGTGACTAATGTAGGAAGCTTTTTTTTTGTTTTTTGAGAGACAGTCTAACTCTGTCGCCCAGGCTGGAGTGCAGTGGTGTGATCTCTGCTCACTGTAACCTCCGCCTCCCAGGTTCAAGTGATTCTCCTGCCTCAGCCTCCCGAGTAGCTGGGACTACAGGTGCATGCCACCATGCCCAGCTAATTTTTGTATTTTTAGTAGAGACGGGGTTTTGCCATGTTGGCCAGGCTGGTCTCGAACTCCTGACCCCAGATGATCCACCCGCCTCGGCCTCCCAAAGTGCTGGGATTACAGGTGTGAGCCACTGCGCCTGGCCTGTAGAAGGCTTTTAGAGCTTGCATTATTTCATGCATTTAAACATATAGTAGGTAAATAAATGTGTGGGAGGATGCAGAAATGCTCTCAAATGAACAGGTTAGAAATCAAGGTGATGCTGGCCCATGAAGGCATGTTCTCTAACCACTTATTCTTGCATTGATGAAAAGTGCCCTACTTTAGGGGAATGAAACGGAAACAACGTGGGACAAGGATGATTGAAATTATTGTATATCAGCCGGGCGCGGTGGCTCATGCCTGTAATCCCAGCACTTTGGGAGGCCGAGAAAGGCAGATCACGAGGTCAGGAGATCGAGACCATCCTGGCTAACACAGTGAAACCCCGTCTCTACTAAAAATACAAAAAAATAGCCAGGCATGGTGGCAGGCGCCTGTAGTCCCAGCTACTCGGGTGGCTGAGGCAGGAGAATGGCGTGAACCTGGGAGGTGGAGCTCGCAGTGAGCCGAGATCATGCCACTGCACTCCAGCCTGGGTGACAGAGCGAGACTCTGTCTCAAAAAAAAAAAAGAAAAAAGAAATTATTGTATATCAAAATATTACTTGCCTATACTATTATTACCCGTGTAAGTCAATAATAATCTGCTATGGGAGCACCATAACAGATACTTTCAGAGATGCTCAAGGGAACAAACTTTGCCTACTAACGGGAAACAAAATGAATTTCTTTGCATTTATTTATTTTAGAGACAGAATCTTACTTTGTTGCCTATGCTGGAGGGCCATGGCACGATCTTGGCTCATTGCAACCTCCGCTCCCTGACACTCACCCAGGTTCAAGCGATTCTTGTGTCTCAGCCTCCCAAGTAGCAGGGTCTACAGGAGTGCTCTACCATACCTGGCTAATTTTTGTATTTTTAGTAGAGATGAGGTTTCGTGATGTTGACCAGGCTGGTTTTGAATTCCTGACCTCAAGTGACCCGCTTGCCTGCCAAAGTGCTGGGATTACAGGCATGGGCTACTGTGCCTGGCCTAATTTCTTTATATTTAAAAGCTGATTTCAATTAAGTACATAATTATCACTTATAATGTCTAGAGTTAAACTGTGTAATGTAAGGAATGCTATTTTTGATTTTAAGACTAAAGATAATAAAACCTCAAGGAAATATATTTTGAAATACAATAATTTGAAGTAAGGCTGCTTAAGCACTTCTATGGTTTTTACCTCCTAGTTTTTATCAGAAATATCCCTTGTTGCTTTATTCTGAAAAATGGTAATAACAATAGCAATAATTTATATCATTCTTGTAATCTATAGATTACTTTTACATACAGAAATAAATTGGGCTAGTCCTTTCATCTTGATATTTCTTCTGAAACTAAATTTTGAAAATCTTTTTTCTTTTATAATATTGTTTTTTTTCCTCCTGATTGTGAAATTAATATAAAACTTTTATTATATACAAAAACCAGTATATGGCCAGGTGTGGTGGCTCACGCCTGTAATCCCAGCACTTTAGGAGGCCGAGGCATGCGGATTTCTTGAGGTCAGGAATTCGAGACCAGCCTGGCCAACATGGTGAAACCCCGTCTCTACTAAAAATACAAAAATTAGCTGGGCATGGTGGTATGCACCTGTAGTCCCAGCTACGCAGGAGACTGAGACAGGAGAATGGCTTGAACCTGGGAGGCGGAGCTTGCAGTGAGCCAAGATCGTGCCACTGCACTCCAGCCTGGGTGACACAGAGAGACTCCGCCTCAAAAAAAAACAAACAAAAAACCAACCAACCAAACAAATCCCAAACAAACAGTATACTTTCAAGACAAGACTTTGGGAGGGGGGCTAAGGTATAGTAAAACAATAATAGTTATTTGTATGAGTAGAGATGTTTATTTCCTGTTTAAGTTCCAAAATCGTTACTCCTTCCCCATTGTACCCAATTTTTAAAAAAAATTTGACCCAGTGTTTTCCCTGTTACTTTTCTATGTAGCTCTCTCCAAATTAAGGACTCAGCTTATTATGAGAATACTTCTTCTCTTGCTTGCTGTTGACCAATACCTATTGAGTAAAAAGATACTTCAAAGAACTTACAATATGATATCTGGCAAAGAAAACATCGTCAAAATATTGATGTAGAAAATGGAGGCAGCTTTGTATAAGGAACTGGGTTAAACTAAGGACAGTTTTTTCACCTGTTCTACTTTATACCTGGTACAGCTGCACCTTGACTCATAAATGGGAATTCTAGCTCTCCAGTAAAAATTTGAGAAAGAGTTTGCATCGCCTGCATCGCCTGTTTGTCGTAAACTAAATCACCATTTTCAAGACTCTTCCAGCAAAGCATGCAATGCATGGATGATAGGGCAACCTCTGGCTACGTTGCTTATGTCTTTTCCTTTCTGTTTTTCTGTTGTTTTGAAACTGGTGTTGCTTTAATGGGATGCCGGAGGAAGGTATAGATGCCAGAGATAGGTATAAAAAATGGAAATAGTAGCTATCTGCCTGCACACACATCAAAGGTTGTTTATGTGAATGTAAATACTTAGAAATATAAACATGAATATATATTACATGTTTAAATTGATGCTTTTGGTAATTCTAATTATAATCTTTGGAGGTAGCCACAAGTCTTGGTAAGACTGTGCTGTTGAAGTGTAATGTGGCATTTCTACTGCAGCAAAACTAGGGTAATGCCTTGTGTAATTGCAATTAATCAACCTTGCCTTTGGGCTTTATATATCAAATCAAAATAAAGATGTAGGAAAGGAAAATGCCATTAGTCACAGTGACAGAATTGTAGTTCCTGTCTACAGACTTATTCTTCCAGTCACCATGGCAATGAAATCCCATTTTTCTAGTGATTAAGAAGTACCAACAATATATTTGGAAAAAACAGGTGACAGTTTGCAGCAACAGACATTTTAAATGAAAATTGATTCTTTTAAAGTTGAAAAGCCATTTCTTAAGTAAAAATGGGATTTAGTATCTAAAAACCTTCATTGATTTTTTTTCTCATTGTGAAAAGTAGTTTGGTTACTTTTTTCAACCGCTCTATTGAAACTACTTGCATGTGAGGGATCAATAATCTCCGCACAGAAATCTTTATAGGCCTCCTTTATGTAAGGTGCAGTACTAAGGGAGAGTGACATTGCATAGAGGTGTAATTCACAGTCCCTGCCCTGAGGAGCTTTACACAGAGAAATAAAACATAAGGAGTGATATATTTAAAAGTGATTTGTAAACTTTGACATAATATGAAAATATAGTGGGTTAAAATTTACTAACAATAAATTAATAAGTGCCACATAAAATGAAAGTGTAAGTGGAATTCAAAACTGTTAGACCATGACTTTTAGCTGGAAGAAAGATGTCTTAAAAGGGGTAGTAATTGGGCTGGAATTTTAATGATTATATTTAAGAATTTGATAATTTGAGAATGAGAGGATCCTTTAGATATAGAAAATAGCAAGAACAAATGCTTGGAGTTATATTTTAATGACATTAATCAGATAATTTTTAATGGGATTATAGCATAGTGGTTAAAAGCATAACTTTAAAGACATATTACTTGTGTTTAAATCTTGGTGCCAACACTGCTATCATTATTATTGTTAGTAACATTTATGTTGAGGTGTTATACAGTATTTGGCCAAAAAGGCAATAGCAATTATGATTGCATTATTTTATTATAAACTTAATAATGTAACAATGATAGTGATTACTGATATTTTTAAAGAACTTATTGAACAGTGCAGGCACTGTTCCAAGTGTTTTACGTATTTTAGTCTCAAAATAATTATATGAAGTACATACTGTTATTTATTCCCATTTTACAGATGATATACTGAGGTACAGATAGAATAATTAACTTACAGAAGGTCAAACAGCTAGTAAAATGGTCATAGAGCCCACAGGTTGACTAGGGCAATATTGGGATTCAGTTTTAATATAAAAATGCATATAGGCAGTGAAAAAGACTGTATGGATGAATACTGTATGGTTAGTGAAAAACCATTTTGATTTCTGCACAGAAGTGTAATATGGTCAAAACAGTGTTTTAGGAATATTAAGCTGGAAAATATGAAGTGTAGATGGACCAGGGCACAAACTGGAGACCAAGCCAGTACATTTGTTCAGCTGTGAAATGATGAGTCTGAGATTGGGTGGGAGCAGGAAGGATGGAAAGGCAGGGCTGGAACTCAACTGGGCTCTGTTAATTGGTAAGGGAGAAGAAGGCATCAATGATGATTTATAGATGTCTCCTTAGGTTAATGGGGATATCACTAACAGGTGGTCAGTGTGTTCTCATATTTTACCAACTTCCTAATGCTTAACATTTCTCACCATCCTTCCTTTGAAATTCTCTTTCCTTCTCCATGTTGGTGACCATTGTTAAATTTTGGTTCTCCTCTTAATTCCTCCTTCACAGTTCTTTTCTGGAGTGTGCAGTCTTTGAAGTCTCAATCTGGGACTAATTTCTCTTTCCTTTACATGCCCACTTCATCATAAACTGCATATGCTGTCCCATTACCTTTAATCTGGAGACAGCATAACCTCATTGAGGGAGACCACACTGGGCCCGAATTCCAACTACAGCATGCTTACTTGTGGAATAACAATGTCTTTGATATTGGTTTACTCGTTTATAAATGGAAGCAGCCTAACTAATAGAGTTGCTATGAGCACTAAAAGTCTATGGAAAGATAGAACACCGTAGTCCCCTGACAAGTTTCATTTGCTCCTTTTGTTCCTTTTCTTCCTATCCAAGTATTTCTTTTTAGTTCAAGTTGCTTTCCTGATGGGAACTCTGCCTACCTTAAGAGAAGTAGTCATGATTTTCTTTTGCTTACCAGATGTTAAACTGTACATGATCATCTTTCATAGATGAATAGCACAGTAATTATCTTTCTGTTTTAAGCATGGAATGAGTTAATACTCTAAAAATATAAGATAAGAACTACAAAGAGATGTAATAATAAACTGGTTTTATGTGAAATTACATTTCAGATTGAGGGTGAAAATTTATCTTCACATTGGATTCTTAAGTGCAGCATGAAGACAAGTTGTGGGAACATGATATATGAAATATAAAATCTTCCAAACCCCTTACATATCTAGAAATTTTATTTGTACAGATGTTATGAATGATATAATGATCTTTTATGTAGCAATTAGGCTAGGAATTTCATTTGATTGAACAGATACTATTGTGAAAAGTACTTATCTCAGCAAAATACTGACTCATATGGAATGACACAAACCACCTTTTTCTGTAGATAGATGAGCCTAGATAAAATTGTTAAGGGGAACTTGTCAGTGTGGTCAAATTAGTTAAGTTCTTGTTAGGGGATTAGAAGTGACCCAGAGAAGACTTTTCCCTGATTCAGTTAACCTTCTTAGATTCCAGTTACCTCAAAGATAAAATATTAAAAATAATCACAGAATATAGACTAGAAGGAGGTTTAGGTATGATCTAGAACAACCACCTTGTTTTACAGAGGAAGAAACTCAGACCTAAAGATTTAAAAGAAGTTACCAAGACGCCTATAATGACAGTGGCAAGTCAGAGGTCAACTTAGGTCTTTTTAATACCCGGTATTTTCACTGTTTTGCCACAAAAGCTCCATGAGTGTTAACATTATGTCAACCAAACACTGGTCTGGAAATGAGGCTTCTGTGAAATTGGAAAAATGTAAGTAATAAGACATGGAACTAAAACTTGTTTAATCATTATCCCTGATTGCTTTTTCTACTCTTATTTTTTAAAAAATAAATTAAAAAACCCTTTGAGATCACAAAAATTCAGTTACCCCTCAGATATTCATGTGAAATGGCTGCGTTAGGAGCCTGTACCATGTTGGTACCCTGTGCACTTTCATTCTGCTGAAGGACATGTACCTGGTTTGAGAAGATGCCTTAAAGGTCGCTTATGGCTAGGCTATTTGCAACTGTACGTGTTCACCCAAGGTGAATTTGATCTGAAGAAAATTTACTTAACTGTCCATACATTTTCTGAATGAAAAAAATCTTACCATTTAACTATTGATCAAGTTTAATTTTTCAAAGTATCAGACACACAGCACCAGAAGTCTACTTTAAAACAATATGGTAAACTCTTTTGCTCTTCTCTCTAGGTTAAATTTGTACTCAAACACACACACACACACACACACACACACACACACACCAATGCTTAAAATGTTAATATCCACATGTAGTTTCTCCATGTGGCTACTTTAGGAAAGGTTTCAGGTACATGTGGAGGAGGTGAGATTAGCATTGATGAGCAGATGATGTGGGAGCTAGGTATGCTCTGTTCTAAATGCCATTTGTGACTTCTGGACTGCCACTTGAAATCTTCTGTAAAATACTCATTTTACTTAACTTACTAAGGGTGCAAGAGCAGAATGGAATTGAAACATTCTAAACTCAAAGCAAGTTTTGTTGGAGTATATAACAGATGTAGTATTCATTGTGAGGTAAATATAGATGAGATTGTCAGAAAGCATCAATATTATGAAATTACTAAGCGTTTTAATGAGAGGAATTTATTTGTTGTTGCTATTTTCATTTTTCTGTCAGCTTCTCACTTTTCTTCTGGCTTAGGGGAAAACTAGAAAAGGGAAAGAGGTTTTTAAAAAGAGTCTAGTGCATAATAATGATTGTTAGAATGAATGAATGAGCAGTTTCTCATTTGGGAGATGGTGTAGTTGCGAGGAGGGAAGGGGTTTCCATAAGGATTCTCTAGGTAGTCTGTCCAACTGCAGATATTCACCCTCTTTCCCATTCAGAGACACTCCACATAGGGGAGACCCATGGCTTTAGAGCAGCAGGTGAAATAAATTTGGATAACACCCAAACCACAAGGCCTGTGAGCTTTGCACCAAATTTTCAACTTCAGTGGGGTCTGGGTTTGTTTTAGCAATGTGGTATTTTTTTGGGTTTTGTGACTTAAGTTTTATTTTTAAATTAATTTGGAATATAAGATGAAGTTACCCTTGAAATAGATTAGTTTAAAATTACAAGGGTACTATTTTATGGGCAAAATAATTTTTCATTATTGCTAAGTTCAGAATTTTTGATAAATTACAAATTCATATTCATATTGTCCCCAGTGGCAGAGATCTCCCATCAAGTAAACTTTCATTGAGAAAAGACATTTTCCCACCCAAACGGAATACTTATTTTTAAAAATAGTTCAACTGCCAGCTTTCACTTCATAGAAGACAGCATTTTCCTTGCCCAGTGACTCCAATTCATCCCTGACAGGTGAGATTTCGTTAGCCTTGTATTTGCATTAGTGCAATTCTGCGAAAGCACTTAGCTCAGTGCCTGGTGCATGGTAGAAGCTCGATAAATGCTTATTTTCTCTTTTTCCTTTTTTGTTCTTTTGGAGAGATATCTAGAGACATACAGAAGTCTTTTAAAAGAATTAATATATTTATTGGTTTGAAAACCCTGTCAAAAATGTAGCAGAATCTCTTTGCTGGGCAGTGTGTCTTATTTTTAAGCATATTGATCAAAACACAGTAATAGTTAAGCTTATTAAAGGAATTTCTTTAAATTCAGCTCAATTTAACCAAAATTTACTTACTATCTACTATATGCAAGGCACTTGTGTAAACATTGTTGGAGACAGAAAGATGAGTACATCATCATTCCTGTGTTTAAGGAGTTGATAATCCAGGGTTGGTGAAGATGAGGGGGCATGTATTAAATATATTACACATGAACAGATATATATGTATATGTATATACACACATACATATATATATATATATATATATATATATATATATATAAACATATGCCTACATGTACATAGCACCCTGTTGTTGCTGTTATGTGAACGCAGGCCACAGGAAACTGCTCAATAGCGTTCCCAGCCTTGTGACCTGGGGTAAGTGATTTAAACCCCCTTCAGCCTCAATGTCTTTGGCAAATGAAATAAACAATAATAATAGTAATAAGGTTACTCTACCTTCCTCATAGGATTGCTTTGAGAATCAAATTGAGTACTGAGGCAAAAGGCACATTTAATTATGTTAGTGATTAAGAAATACAATACATAGTCTTTTCTGGCTGTGGTGACATAAAATTATCTATACCACAACTTGTTGGTGGGATTCATCAGGGTTTTTGCTTCCTTTGTTCTTTAAACAATTCTTTTTTTTTTTTTTTTCTTGAGACGGAGTCTCGCACTGTCGCCCAGGCTGGAGTGCAGTGGTGCGATCTCGGCTCACTGCAAGCTCTGCCTCCTGGGTTCGCGCCATTCTCCTGCCTCAGCCTCCTGAGTAGCTGGGACTACAGGCACCCGCCACCGCACCGGGATAATTTTTTGTATTTTTAGTAGAGACAGGGTTTCACCGTGTTAGCCAGGATGGTCTCAATCTCCTGACCTCGTGATCCGCCCGCCTTGGCCTCCCAAAGTGCTGGGATTACAGGTGTGAGCCACTGCGCCCGGCCTAAATGTTTAAAAATCCTGTAAACAGAAATATTTTATTTTTCTAACGTTGCTATTATTTGGTGTTGGTCAAAAAGTGGATTTTAGAGTGATTCCAGGTGGAAAAAACACCTAGATTTTTTGAGTAAAAGTTAGATTAAAGTAAATGTTTATGAATTTTTGAACTATGGTATGATAGTTAATTTTGTGTGTCAACTTGGCTGGGCTATATGGTACCCAAATATTTGGTTAAACGTTTTTCTGGATGTGTCTATTACAGTGTTTCTGGATGAGATAAACAGTTAATTCCATAGACTGAGTAAAGCAGGTGGCCTTCCCCGATGTGGGTGGGCCTGAATAGAACAAAAAGGCAGGGTAAGGGAAAATTTGCTCTCCCTGCCTGTCTTCAAGCTAGGGCATAGGTCTTCTCCTGCCTTTCAACTCAGACTTGGACTGCAGCTTATACCTTTGGCTTTCCTGGTTCTCAGGCCTTAGGACTCAGGTTGGAATTATACTTCCAACTCTCCTGGGTCTCTACCTTGCTGGCTGAAGATCTTGGAACATTTCAGCCTCCATAATCATGTGCACAAATTCCTTATCATAAATCTCCTTACATCATCATATTGGCTCTGTTTCTCAGAAGAATCCTGCGTAATACAGATTTTGGTACCAAGAGTGGTTCTAGAGGAACAGAATCTTTAGTTTGAGTTTTCTGAATTGGTTATGGGGTTTCTGGAATTGGCTTTCTCATTTGATTAGATTTAAAGAGCTAAATGACTCAATTTCCAGTAGGAAAGAGAAGACACAAGTAAGTTACACGAAGAAGCAGCCCCAAAGCTTATGATCCCAACTCCTGCTGCCTTGACTTCTTTCTCCCAGTCTGTGCCTATGGCCTCACAGAAAGTTTGCTATGATCAGTTGAGAGAGGAGGAAAGACCTGAGCCAGCTTTACAGATGTTTCCACAGGCACCATGTGAAAGTGGGCAGCAGTAACACTATAGTCCTTTTCTGGGATACCCCTGAAGGTCAGTGGTAAAGGGAAACTCGCCTAGTGGGCAGAGTTCAAGCTGTGCACCTGGTTGTAAACTTTGCTTGGAAGGAGAGATGACCAGACATGCGATTATGTACTGATTCATGGGTTGTATCCAGTGATTTTTCTGGACAGTCAGGGACTTGGAAGGAACTGATTGGAACGTTGGTGACAAGGAAATTTGGAGAAGAGGTATATGGATAGACCCACCTGAATGGGCAAAAAACATGAAGATGTTTGTGCTTTATGTGAATGCTCACCAAAGGGTGACCTCAGCAGAAGAGGATTTTAATAATCAAGTAGGTAGGGTGACATTTTTTGCGGATACCAGTGAGCCACTTGCCCCAGCCACACCTATTCTCACCCAGTTGGCTCATAAAGTAGCCACTGTGGCAGGGATGGAGGTTATACATGGGCTCAGCAATGTGGACTTCCACTCATAAAGGATGATCTGGCTACAGCCACTGCTGAGTGCCCAATCTGACAGCAGCAGAGACCAGCACTTAGTCCCTGATATGGCGCCATTCGCCAGGGTGATCAGCCAGCTACCTGGTGGCAGGTTGATTTCATTGGACCTCTTCCATCATAGAAGGGGCAGCATTTTGTTCTTACTGGAATAGACACTGTAGATATGGATTTGCCTTCCCTATATGTGATGTTTTTGCTAAACTACCATCCATGGACTTATAGAATGTCTTATCTGCCCTAGCAGCATACACACAGCATTGCTTCTGATCAGAACTCACTTTATAGCAAAAGAAGTTGGGCAAATTCCCATGCTCATGGATTTCATTGGCCTTGCAACGTTCCCCAACATTCTGAAGCTGCTGGCTTGAAAGGTGGTGGAGAGGCCTTTTGAAGCCTCAGTTACAGTGCCACTTCAGTGGCAATACCTTGCAAGGCTGAGGCAAGGTTCCCTAAAAGACTGTATATCCTCTGAATCAGTGTTAAATATATGGTGCTATTTCTTTCATAGCCAGAATTTATGGGTCTAGGAATCAAAGGTAAAAATGGGATTGGCATCACTCACTATTACCCTTAGTGACCAACTAGCAAAATTTTTGCTTCCTGTTCCCATGACCTTATGCTCTGCTGGTCTAGAGGTCTCAGTTCCCAAAGGAAGAATGCTTCTATCGGGAGACACAACAATGATTCCATTGAAATGAAAGTTAGGATTGCTCCCTGGCCACTTTAGATTCCTCATGCCTCTGAATCAACAGGCAAAGAAGGGAGTTACTGTGCTGGCAGTGGTGACTGACCCTGACTAGCAAGGGGAAATTGGACTGCTATTCTACCACGAAGGTAAGGAGGAGTGTGTATGGCATATAGGGGATCTCCTAGCGTGTCTCTTAGTCTACCATGCCCTGTGATTAATGTCAATGGAAAACTATAATAACCCAATCCAGACAGGACTGCTAACAGCCTAGATCCTTCAGGAATGAAGGTTTAAGTCACTCTACCAGGTAAAGAAACATAGTCAGCTAATGTGATTGCTGGAGGCAAAGGGAATACAGAATGAGTGGTGGAAGAAGGTAGTTATCAATACCATCTATGACCACATGACCAGCTACAAAAACAAGAATTATAGTTATCCTATTTCCTCTTTATTTTGTTATGAATATGTTTGTGTGTGTATGTGTGTGTGTAAATATATTAAGCAAAAATCTGTTTTCTTCCCTTATTCCCTTATTATGTAACATAAGATGTATCACTTTCGTATCATAGTATTAAGTAGTATTAATTTTACGTCATAGTATTTAAATTATGGGATATCAAGAAAAAGATATAAACATAACTCAAGGACTTTACATCCTCTTCTGCAGAAAGGATTAATGTGTTTTTGGTTGTATGCAGAATGGTTGTATCATGTTAGGCAGAGTTATAACCTTGTTATTGTCTTTAATTGGAGATTAAGTATGGTTTAAGAGGAAGTATATGGGTTAACAAGGGTGAACTTGTGATGGTTAGTGTTGTGTCAACCTGACTGATCTACAGAGTGCCCAGATACTTGGTTAAATATTATTCTGGGTGTGTTTGTGAAGCTGCTTCTGGATGTGATTAACATTTAAATTGGTATATTCAGTAAAGTAGATTGCCCACCCCAATATGGGAAAACCTCTTCCAAGCCACTGAAAGGCCTGAATAGAACAAAAAGGTAGAATAAGGGAGAATTTGCTTTCTCTGTCATAAAGCTAGGGCACAGACTTCTACCTTCAGGATCAGACTTGGACTGGAACTCACACCATTGGCTCTCTTCGTTCTCAGTTCTTAAGACTTGAACCGAAACTATACCATTGGCCCTTTTGGTTCTCCAGCTTGCCAGTTGTAGATCTTGGGACTTGAACTTCTCATCCTCCATAATCATGTAAACTAATTCTTTACCTTCTCTCTCTCTCCCCATATGTGTGTGTGTGTGTGTGTGTGTGTGTATCTCCTACTTGTTCAATTTCTCTGGAAAACTCTAATACATATGGTTAGTAAGTTTACCTCCCCCCCCAGATATTTGTGCCTTAAAGCCTTTATGTTGTTTGGATGATACTAATTCTCTATAATATATCTTGGAGACAATTCATAATGAGACTATTGTTATCTTATTTTATAGCAAATCTATCAAGCTGACATTTTTAGAAAAGTGAACAGACCTGGAAAGTTTAAATTTGTTACCCCAGGACAAAGAGCTCATCATACCAGCATGGGGCCTAGAATCTAGGTCTTCAAACTCTTAAGCTATTACTCTTTCTACATAACATACCGCCAGTACTACTGGTTGCCCATCTCCTCTACAAAAAAAGTGGGTTTTGATTCCTATCTTTCATTTACTTAGTCAGTGTAGCCCTTAAGTGCTTCAGTATCCTCCACATGTTAAGATTTCTCTCATTAAATTAGAGCATTTGAAGCAAATGGGGGTGAATTTGCAAAGTATAATAATATAGATTATTTATAAGTAAGTATAACTTTAGAATTATCTCAAGTAAGTAGTTACCCAATTTCCTTGCTAACACAACCTTTTGTTGATAGAGGAAAGTAGGAATGTTATTTGGCCTGTTTCAATGAATATGTAAGATTTTAGTATAATTGATGTTTTATAAATACCTAAAAACAGTTCATCTAGAAAGCTTAAGTAGGTCATGAATATTTAGTAACTTTTTCTTTTTAGTAAATCCTTTCTTTAATAGATGCAAAGATTTAAAACCTATCTTAATCAAAGTGTGCTATGTTCGGTCTTATTGACGTGGAATTATGATTATTTACTGTATTATACTGACACATAAAAACATTGTTGTTGTTTATTTTGTCTCTCCATTTAAATTTCAAAATAGATTTTGGCTGTAGTGAATAAGACGATTCCCTCCCCACCCACCCCAAGCATCTAACTGTGTTGGGCTAAGGTGGACAGCAGGTAGTTCATTAATACATTAATTATGCAAAGAACTACATTATGTTCTGGGTAATATGAATATATTAAAGACATGAGGTATGAAGATCACATGAATCTTGGCTTCAAGTTACTTATAGTCTATTAGGAGATGACGCATATAAGGAATTACAATGTGGGATGTTCATCATGTTCTATAACAGAGGTCCCAATAGAGTGCTGTAAGAATTTAGAGAAGAGTCATTACTTTTGCCTATGGAGCCTCAGAGAAACCTTCCTAGAGGAGCTGGTATTTGAGCTGGACTTTTAAAGGCGAGGCTAGATTTGAACAAAAGAAGACATTCCTGGACAGTGTCTACCATGTATGTAAGTTAGTTAAGTTGATAAAATATCTAGTCCTTATTACAATGTCTGGCACCTAGTGGATTTACATTAAGTATATGCTGAATAAGTCCATGAACCATGGAGTTAATTGTATGCCACTAGCTGACTGTCTCCCTTATATGAGGGATGTCAGAAAAGCAATCAGAAAATTTTTGGCCAGGAGCTGGCTTGAGTAGTGCTTCTTCTTATCAAGGACTTTAACTGCAGTTTCCTTACATTCATCTTTCCATCAACATTAACCATCATGCTTTGTCCCTGAAAAATGGTGCAGCTGCTTGGTGGCTATTTCACCCACCCCTCATTAATCAGCTGTTCACCGGAGAGCTGGACTGATGTCTGACAAACTTGATCCCCTGCAGGGCATGAGAGGAGGAGTAGTCTGGCAGCTGCGAAGTACTAGTGCTTTGGCTTGGCTTTACTGCATGGCATGGGTGGAGATAGATGGATGCTTATTTTCATGCCATTTATGAAAATAGGAAGATGCTGATTCTTTTTGTGTGGGATACTTCTGAAATGCTGTGTCAGCGGAGGCAAGCAGAGTATGGAGCTGAGTACAATGTCGCTCTGGATTCCTTGTCTTCACTGCTGCCAGTTGAATGGGTGGCTGGAACAGGGGACTTCATCAACACAATTGCCCTGATAACCAGTGAAGATTTCAGCCTCCTTCTAGGATCAAGATATATTCTGGACACACTTGTTAGTAAAATAAATCTTTACCATAGTTGAATATATGCATATTTATTGATGAAAAGTTTGAGAGTCTAAAAAAGGAAATATTAATTCTATTGAATACTCATAATTCTGAATAAGCTAGGTGAAGAATAAAAGGTTTCAAATTACCCTGGCTAAGGACTAGAGAATAATAGTAGTTATAATCGTAGCAATACATTTATATATATGTAAATATACATATATATTTACATTATATAGCAATACATTATATAGGCATGCGTAGAAGGTAAAATATTCTCATATATTATCTTGACTGTGGGACAATACGGGTTTTTCTCAGGTCTTTTCAACTCTTTTAGCAATTGACTCTGTTGACTATACCTCCTTCCGTGAACTTACTTTCCCTTGACTTTCATGACAGTAAGCTCTCTTGATTCTCTTCTTTCTGTTATCTCTCTCCCTTCTTGACCCGTTTCTTGCCTTTGCTGGCTAAAAGCATCCTTTGATGTTTTACTTGGATCTTGTCTCTTATGTTTCTGTATTCTTCCTCTTGGTGTCATCTGTTCTGGTGAATCTCAAATCTTTACTTTAGGTTTTGATCTTTTGAGTTGAAGACACATGTTTTTAACTACCTGGTGGTTATCCCATGTAGAATGCCTTAGTTTTACTTCCCACCTAGCATGTTCAAGACTGACTTCATCTGCTAAATATGCTCCTCCTCTATCTATCTATTTACTGTTTTTTCAGTATTAACTTCTTCCAGGTCTTCCTTTCCTATGATTCTAACATTCATTGGTTTTAAAGCCCTTGCATTGTACGTAAGCAATATTACATGTTCCCTAATTCAGGCCCAAGTGACTGTAGGCTTGTCTAATAGTTTGAGCTGGTCTTAATTGCTGTTTTGCTACATAAAAGCATTAACTGGCTTCTTTTCTTTCACTTTTCCTTACCTGACATTCAAGCCTTCCACGATGGGCTCATTTCCACATTTTCAATCCTCCCTCCCTCCTTTCCTTTTTTTTTCAGTCTTGCTCTGTCGCCCAGGCTGGAGTGCAGTGGTTCGATCTCTGCTCACTGCAAACTCCCCCTCCTGGGTTCAAGCCATTCTCCTGCTTCACTCAGCTTCCTGAGTAGCTCAGATTACAGAACCACACCAGGCTAATTTGGTGGAGATGGGGTTTTACCATGTTGGCCAGGCTGGTCTTGAACTCCTGACCTCAGGTGATCCACCCGCCTCGGCCTCCCAAAGTGCTGGGATTACAGGCATGAACCACCACACCCAGCCTCAAGCTTATCTTTCTTTACTTCCTTTTTCTATGTTCCAGCTGATCTGGAACACTTTAAATTTCTTAAATGCACAAACATCAAGCCTTTTTGTTTTAGGTCTTTTATTATATTATTCCCCTTTTAAATCCCAGTTCAGATGTAAGTTTCCTATATAGAAATAATTTGTTCATCTTCTGAACCTACCTTGCATTCCAGGGCATATTTTGTGCATTTTCCACGTAAGCTTGAAGATAGGACTCATGTTTGGTTTCATCCTTGTGTCCCTTACAAACCCTAGAACAGAGGCCTCCTCCTTAATGATTTAACAAGTTTATAAAGTAGATAAATAAATTAATGAAGAAGTTTAACACAGAATAGGTAAGAAAAAGAGAATAGAATCATATACAGGAAAAAAATGATCATAGTAGAGTCAATTTTTTAGAATAATTAAATTGGAATACAATTTAATTCTAAAATATTTATAAAATTTTAAGATTTGTTGAATGCCTATTCAGATTTTTTTAAATTTATAGATAAAGATATAGATGTACTAATTATCATAAACTTGATAGGAAAGTTGATACAGTAAAATATCAAATCACTTTTGAGAAAACAAGAATTCCTTGAGAATTGGTGGAGTACTCACTCATCAATTAGAATACCATTTACTGTCTTTACCCTGTTTGACTATCCAAGGTCAGAATTTCATTGATATAGATGAAAATGATGTAGTCTCTAGAGCTTACTTTTACTTTATTTGTTTACTGCTAGAACTAGTAGTTTTCTAGCTCTACCAGCTTACTGTATAGATTTGTCATTTGCATTTTATATCTCTGCTTAATTTTATATTAAGATATTGGCACTTACATGTAATACCTTGAGGACAATTTGAATATTAATCATTATAATCGTCATTGTTTTAAACTCTTGTATCTGAGCAGCCTTAGGAATTTGAAGTATCTGCTATGATAGTATCTATTTTCATGCTTAAGTCTTTTTTCCTACTTTAGGTACCCTTATTGCTGTTAATGTTTTCATTTTGTGTATTGTTTATGTTTTTTAAATTTTTTTTTTTTTTTTTTTTGCTTTTTAACAAAAAAGCAACTAGAGGTTCCTCTACTGAAAAACTAGTTTTCAGGCCTGGCCTCTGCATATCTCTCCTACCCATGGGCAAGGGCCCCTGGTCTTCCATCAGCCGGCCTAACCCTGATCCTGATCCCTGGGACAAATCCCTATCATGTGGTGTGAACTTGCCTGTCTTTAATCATTGAGTTGTTTTTTTGCTGCTACCTTTGGGGTATAGTTGTATTAACTGAAGCTCTGTCCTATTCCTGTTCCATGATTCTTGACATAGGACTTCTGTCTTTTTCTTTCAGATTTAATCCTTACGTTGTGCTGTAGTTTTTGTAAACAATCATCTGTTTGTTTTTAGCTGATACCCTGTGTTGGTAGCTGCCGCTGTACTCATGAACCCAAGCTTAAGGTAGACTTTGGTTCATAGCAGGTATTCATATAATGGTTATAGGTGATTGGATGATTAGATTCAGCCCTTTAATTCTAAGGGCTTACTGATTCTTTCCCTGCTTGTCTGGTACTCTGAAATGTTCCTGCATTTTATTCTGTCATCACCATGCTCCACACATATGATAGGATACCTTTGTTATTTCAAGTTTGGCTTCCACCATTGCCGACTTCTCCGGAGTGGCCTTTTGATAGATGCTTTGACTTCCAAAATAAACTTCCTTTCTGCACCTTCATACCAGTTAATTACCTCCTGTATACCAGTCCCAACCCAGAGGACCAAGTTCCTGGAGACCTTGCAGATTCCTATATTTGGCTATAACAAACTGGACCATATTGGTCTATGATAAGGATGTTCATATTTTCTAGGTTTGCCTAGGAAAGTTCTGGGGTTTTTTGCTTATTATTCTGGTATAATTATCAATAGGGCCTCCTTTACTCTCAAGGTATCTAGGTCTAGATAATAAAGTATATAATATGGTCACTTAAACCCTTCCTAAGTTATGACAGAAGCTGAACTCTTAAATTTTGTCTTAACTGTGTCAATTATAGTGCCATATTGAGAAAGTTGGAGGTTTACTTTTAAAAATCAGATTTTTAAAGTTATCCAGTGTATTAAGTGACTTTTAGTTTATGGCTATTTGAATAGAGATTATAAAAATATAAATATAAAGGTATCAAGACACAAAATATTTTTCTAGAGATCCACATATTTATTGGGCACTATATTATCATAGTATTAAGAGTTTCTGGGAAGCAAATTTTAAAAGATTTGCTTCATGCCCTTCATCAAATATTCTGTGAGGCAACGCACTACCCAGACACTTAATTTTAAACCTCTGTGATTGTATATGTTTAGTTATGTAAGCTCTTTTGGGGACTGCAGTGCAAGTTCTGCTGTTATTGAATCACTCAAGTGAAGAATGATAACAATTCTAAAAATACTGCATCTTGGGTATTTTTTTAAAAAGTGATCGGTTGCCTTTCATGTGCAGCATAGCAGAAAATAACTAGGCCCTCATAATTATTCTCAGGGCTGCAGTTTGTGAATTAAAACTTAAATGCCTTGAATTGCAGATGCTTCAACTCCTTTTTATTCACTTTGCAAAGTTGCTTAAAATTGTTGCAAATTACTGTAATAGAAGGGGAAGAGTGGGATCTTGTGAGTACTTTTAAATGAAGCATAATCATAGGAAGGCCTACAAAGTGACACTTTTTTTGATATAGTCTGTGAATTTAAGGATATTATCATCCTGCTTTTTTTAGTATGTCAATGGATACTAAAATATTGGAAAGTGGAAAAAGATAATTCACAGTGTAGACACTGTTTTTCTATTGTGCATGACTTAGGGAATTCGGTTTACCTCGACTTAGGGAATTCAATGCCTGTTTTTCAGCTGTTTTTCATGATGAAAAAAACCATGCTTTTTTTTTTTTCTTTCTTTCTATTTCTCTTTACTTCTTCCGGGATAGATAAAGAGGACAGTGTTTGTGTATGACTGTGAGATCAACAAAAGTAGGGGTTTACTGTAGTCTAGAGCTGCTTTGTGTAGGTCTGAGAATCCTCTATGTAGAAAAGAACCTTTATCTACTAGACTGTTTTAATCTTTAATGGTTAACTTCACTGCCTTCAGTACTTTCTGAGACAAGTAATTCTACATGCTCAACAGATGCAAGAGAAACTCACTCAAAAAACATAGATTTTATAGGTATAGAAGGGACAATGAAAGAATTTATCCTCTGACCTTCCATTAGCACCACAACTCTCTTCTATAGGAAGATGGTAATCTATGTCAGATTTAAAGACTTCAAAGTGGCTATTTCATTCCAATATTAAAAATCTCACTCTCAGAGAAATCTTTCTTAGATCTAATCTACATTATTCATATTGGAATTTAAGGCTATTTCTTTTGGTTCTGTCCTCATTGTAGATAGAGAACAGCTGGTCACTGGAATAACTGATCAAACATGTTAAGAATGTTTTTAAATCACTCATCAGTCTTCCCTTCACCAGGTGGAATAATCCTAGTTTCTTTATTCTTTCCTAATAGATACTACCTACCAACCCTTTAATTATCTTTGTGGCTCTTCTCTAGTTGAGTTAAATTTGAACCCTCCAACTTAGGTATGGATTTAAAAAAAAAATTTTTTTTAGGATAAAGAGTAACTATCTGGTCCTACAGAGCTCTTAGCTTAATTACAGCTGTTCCAAAGGCCCCTCTCATCTCACAAGCAGAGTTGGTTCATACACCTTTTCCTTCCAAGTTTACAGAACCATTTCTTCTGTGTATACTGATAGCATGAAGATGCATGGAGTCGAACAGAGAGGAAGACTCAACTTGAAGGTTATACTCTTTTTAACTCCTATTTGCTCTCCCATCCCACATTGTAAAATTGTATTTAGTTTATGAATAGAACTATTAGTTGAAGATTCAAATAGTTTAATATTAAGAAACGAAAGTTTTTAGAAACACTGAAATCTACCTAGAAAAAGCTTTTCAAAAATTTTATAAAAGAAATACAAGGGAGATGTTGGTCAGAGGGTATAAAGTTGCAGATATGTAGGATGACGAAGTCTGGAGATATAATGTCCAGCATGAAAACCTTAGTTACTAACATTGTATTTATACTAGAAATTGCTAAAAGAGTAGATTTTAGGTGTTCTTAATACATATACACACACAAGATACCTATGTGAGATGATGGATGTCTTAAGTGACTTGACTGTGGTAATCACTTATGTATATCAAAACATCATGTTGTATACCTTAAATATATACAATAAAAGATAAAAGAAATATATTTGCTAAGTTCATAATGAACAATTATTATGCATAAGGAACTTCCCAAACTCTGGAAATAAAAGAATTAAAAAAACTTTGGTGAAATAAAAAGCCAGTCACTTCTATCTATTTTTATAAAAGTGTTGGTGTCTAAATGCAAATAATGTCAATATCAAGCCACCTTTTACATAGAATGTGAGTTTTAAGGAACAGGGAAGAATCATCCGGAATAGTATGTGACTTATGGTCTCCTGGGATTATACCATAAGTTTTGTCCAGTTCAAGCTCCATCTTAAGAACACTACTGTTGGCCAGTCTCCCAGACCATAAAACAACCATTCATAATTTGACCTTCAACCTCATCCCCTCACCTCTTGAAAAACTTTGACAAATTGAGTGTTGGTATGTGTGTTTATTGCAAAGAGTGAAGTGAAGTGCAGGTGAGTCTAAGGACATTCATTATTCCAAGGTTAGTATTTGCCTTTAAAAAATGGGGCTAAATACTTTTGAACAGAATAGGCTGTTAGAAAAATTGTTAGTGGAATTGACTGTTTCTGAAACACATGATGTGAAGCGGGGGAAATGTAAATGTGAAACAGCAGCTATTAGAGCGTTTGTAGAAAAAGCTGGATGGCAAGAAGATAAGTGTGTGCAAAACAAGCAGCATTCCATTTTACAAAGCCTCGGGACACTAATGTCACAGAGAATGTGACATATGAAAGGTGAAGCCCATCAACCATTAATATTCCAGACCCAGGGCCCTTGATTTTTGTAGTCAGCTCCCACTACAAGCTTGACACAACTCAAGGACACAGGGTGGAGAAAAGTCAAGTCTTGATATGGTGACTTTCAACTTTTAAAAAAAAAGTGCAGTAGAAGTATATTTTACTTGTAATAAAAAAGACTTATGAATACATCAGGAATCTGTACAAATGAATTAAAGTCATGGAGGTAGTTGTCTGGGAGTGAGATTGGGGTTACTAGGTTCCACTAACTCTACTTCTACAACAAATTCTAAATGTTTCCTGTGTTGTAAATTAAAAACTACTTGTTTTTAATTAAGACCATCTGTAAGCTCAAAAAGGACATGGGGACTAACAGAGTGCCAAGGTGAAAACTGGTGGTGTCCACCTGAGTCATTTATTCCTCAAGCAATTTTTTTTTTTTTTTGGCTAGACAGATGCTTCATAGATTTGACTTAGCACATGACTTGTTTCCTCCACAGTTCCCCCATTAAGTGGCTACCAGGTGATTTAATGAGGGTGTATTCAGAAACCATCTAGAAAACAGACCACCCTCCCTGGTGTATATATGACTTCGTAGAATTTTTAGCAATAGATCTTGATTATTAAAACAAGGTTTCTATTATTTTAAAGATTGCACAAAGAAGGTGAAAGTGAAGAGAGAAGGCACTCTAGAAAACACAAACCATATTAGATGACATTTTGGAAAGAAAGAGGGCATTTAAGGGAGAATGTTGGCAAAGCTAAAAAGGAGTAGCTTCAAAATAGAGGAAAAATTATTTGACATTAATGGATATTACAGGTTTCTAGAATGTGAGAATTAAAAGACACCTTAGAGATTCTGTAGCCCACTCCTTTGCATTTATAGATTAAAAAAGGAAAAACTAAACCAAACAAAAAACCTCTTACATCCCAGAAAAGGCTTCCTTTCTTTTGTTTCTGTGTTCTTCTACTGATAGGCTGATGGGATGAATACTAAGATAATGAACAGTAATTCAACAAGTAGATGACAGAGGCATTGTGTAGTGTTCTGGAAGAATTAATCTCCATTCAAATTAACAAATAATAACAAATTGACTTTAGGAAAAGCAAATAAATACCCTCAAAAAATTATTTTGTACTCTCCATTGTTTCTGAAAGGATTTATACTATAATATGGGATAAAAAGGTGTACAAGAGATCACAGTAACAATTGTTGAACTTAATGAACTCCCAGACTCCTGGACAGACAACTTAAATGTACTATTTCATTCAATTCTTTCAGTGACCTATAAGGTCACTTAAGAAGATGAAGTACAGAGATATTAAATCACTAGCCCAAGTGACAGCATCAGCGTTTGAACTCAGGTCTTTCTGTCAGTGGGGTCTCTTCATGACTGTGATATTACTGTGTTGCTGATTATAAAGGCAAAATACTAACATACTGCAAGAAAGATGTAAATGGACGTGTGAATTCAATGAGTGATGAAAACCATTTGGGCCAATGGAGCACAGGGCTGGAGGTGCATCTGAGTTGGTGGTCCTGGTAATGGCTTTTGAAGGATGGGAGATTTTAGACATATATTAATGAGAAGTATGTTCCTGAAAGTTTAAGGATGCCACATTACAGTTTTGCACTGCATGACAATGCTTAGAACAGTAACAAACTGCATATATGACCCATCAGATTTTAATAGATTTTAATAGAGCTGAAAAACTGTCACCTAATAATGTCATAGCTGTTGTGATGTCATGGCACAATGCATTACTCACATGTTTTCGGTGATGCTGGTGTAAACAAACCTACTGCACTTCCAGTCATACAAAAGTATAGCACATACAGTTATGCACAGTACGTAATACTTGGTAATGATAATAAACAACTATGTTACTGGTTTATATATTTACTATGATATACTATTTATCATTATTTTAGACTGCTCCCCTACTTATTAAAAAAAATTTAACTGTAAAATAGCCTTAGGCAGGTACATCAGGAGGCATCCAGAAGAAGGCATTGCTATCACAAGAGATGACAGCTCCGTATGTGTCATTGCCCCTGAAGACCTTCCAGTGAGACAAGATGTGGAGGTGGAAGACAGTGATGTTGATCATCCTGACCCTGAGTAGGCCTTGGCTAAAGTGTGTGTTTGTGTTTTAGTTTTTTAACAAAATGGTTTAAAAAGTAAAACCAAAAAAATTTAAAAATTGGAAGTCTATGAAGTGTACAATGTGTTTGTGTTATAAGCTAAGATTTATTACAAGACAGTCAAAAAATTAAAAACATGATGAAGTTTGTAAAGTAAATAGCTAAGCTTAATTTATTATTGAAGAGAAAATTTTAAAAAATAAATTTAGTGTAGTCTAAGTATACTGTGTTTATAAGGCCTACAGTGGTGTACAGTAATGTCCTAGGCCTTCCCATTCACTCACCACTCACTCATTGACTCACCCAGAACAACTTCTAGTCCTGCAAGCTCCATTCATGGTAAGTGACTTATACAAGTACCACTTAAAAAAATATTTTATACTATATTTTTACTGTAACTTTCCTATGTTGAGACATACAAATACCATTGTGTTACAATTGCCTACCTGCTGTACAGGTTTGTAGCCTACAAGCAATACAATATAAATAAATAAATAAATAAATATATATATATATATATATATATATATACACACACACACACACACATACACACACATATATAATAGAGCTACATTATATAATAATATAAATATTACTATATTACTATAATATAAATATAATATTACTACAATATAGCTATTATACATAGTATAGCTGTATTATATAGCCTAGGTATATAGTAGGCTATACCATCTAGGTTTGTTTAAGTACACTCTATGATGTTTGCACAATGACAAAATTGCCTAATGATGCAGTTCTCAGAATGTATCCCCATCATTAAACAAAAGATGACCGTATTCTTTTAGCAATGATGGAATGCATTTAAGAGTAGTTGGTTCAAAGATTTCCATCAGTAGAAACCTGTTTGACTTGAGTAGTTGTCATTGCCCTTATTGGGCCTCTCAGGAATTACTGATTAGCCTATGAAGGGGTTCCCCTCGGGTTGATGACAGTACTCCCATCCAGAAAGTGGCTACCTCTACTCTCCTACCCCCACCAGTCTGCATGCAGGAGCTGTTATCTATCATCAAAAGGGAATTTCCACTGCCTGCTCTGTACCAGAGAAATGCTGGGCTTCATAAATATTGGTAATGGATGCCTGAATGGGGTGCAAGTTGGCAGACCCTCTGGAATCTGGACCAAGGATATACAGAGAATGGGCTAGGAATGGGGAAAACAAGGAGTAGTCCCAAGGAGAAGCAGAGCTGCTGTGAGAGGCAGAGAGCAGCCCATTCATGGTTCTCTGACCACACACCTTCTAGTTCCACAGTGGTCAGAGGGATCTCTGTTTGTAAACGAACAAGCACAAAACACAGGACCATTCATTTGGCAGAAAATTGAGATCAAAGCTCCAAAATGCATGATAGTGATACCTGGTACTGCAAGGACAAAAGGAAAGTTCATTAATACTAGTCTACAGAGCCTCACATGCAGTAAGCCCTCAAGCACTTGGTCGATGATTGAACAAAAATTGCAAGCAGAGATAATAAAACTTTGAGATAGTTGCCTGACATAACCTTTCTTTGAATTCACTTATTCAGTACATGGGTGCTACTTAGATTATCATAATGGGCCAAAACTCTGCCTAAAGTCTGAGGCAATACTTAAAAAGTATGTGTTTCGCTATTCTCTCCCTAAAGCTGCTTGGTAAAAAACTTGATTAGGAAAAAAATCTAAGCCCAATAATAAAAGTGTACCAAAATATTAAAAACAGAATTACCATAAGATCCAGCAATTCCACTTATGGGTGTATACCTCAAGGGAAATGAAAACAGGATCTCAAAGAGATAGTTGTATACCCACGTTCACAGCAACATATTAGCAATAGCCAAAATGTAGAAGCAACACAAGTATTCACTGACAGATGAATAAACAAAATGTAGTATGTATATACAATGGACTATCATATAGGCTTAAAAAAGAAAAGATATTCTGACACATGCTATGACATGGATGATCCTTGAAGATACTATGTTAAGTGAAAGAAGGTAGGAACAAAAGGACAAAAAATATATTGTTTTACTTACATGAGGTACTTAGAGTAGTCAAATTCAGAGACAAAGTGGTTGCCAAGGGCTGGGAATGGGGGCCTAGAACAGGCAGTTATTGTTTAATGGGCACAGAGTTTCAGTTTTGCAGGTAAAAAATGTTCTGTGGATGGGTGGTAGTGATGGTTGTACAACAATATGAGTATACTT
Source organism: Homo sapiens (assembly GCF_000001405.40). Lineage (NCBI taxonomy): Eukaryota > Metazoa > Chordata > Mammalia > Primates > Hominidae > Homo > Homo sapiens. Next base: position 109,237,724 of record NC_000004.12, on the reverse strand, counting down.
AATGTCACTGAACTGTACAATTAAAAATGTTAAAAGGTAAATTTTCCATTATGCATATTTTATCACACAAATAAATAATTTTTTAAAGCAAAAAAAAAAAAAAGATTGCCATCAAGCCATTCCTTTACCAGTATACATTCTGTGCATTAGTACCAGTGGAAACTTGCCAATTTTGGCTTTAAATAACCCTTACGGCAACTCTCTTATTTATTCATGTGATTTTTATTTCTCTCTTTACTGCCCTGGTTGAAGGTTTATGCCCTTGTAAATTTTTCATTTGAAAAGTTCCATCTGGGTGGACCCTAATTTTCCCCCAAAATATGTTGAGCTCTGAAAGATAATTTTTCTAAATACCTCGTGTATGAGATGTTTTATTCATCTCCACTTATGAATGGAGACAAATTGCCCTTCCTTTCTATTTCCCTAGCTGTGCCATTTATTTGAGCAGTTATGCCTCAGCACTTATTTTTTGTAACGTGAAGATCACATTAGAAATGTTTTTTTGTTTCCTCTCTTGCTTTCCCATGAAGGATAGAAAAGTACTGCTACTGGGATCCTGGGATGATATCTAGTGTTTTTATAAAATAGGGCATATTGTAAGTGCTATCTCTTGTAAATAAGTGATTCAGATCACTTGGCTTTTTAGCATGTTCAACTAACTGGTAGTATAAATTTTTAAAATTTTTAAAAATCAGATTTTAATTTTACATGCTTATGAGATATTTTGATGTATTTCCTTCATTTTCAGTGACCATTCTACATAATGTGAAACTGTATAACAATGTTCCTAGAAATTTTTTTTGTACACTTAAACAATTTTTTTTTAGAGGAGCAAAAAGAGTCTAGTCTGGCTATTTTGCATATCAATTCCTGTTGAGAACTAGATATAATAAAGACTCATATCCAGCATCCATAGCTTTTAACATGGTTTGTAAATGATATTTAAATAATGTAAGTCATTGGAGAGAAAGATTGCATCAAAAATGTTCTCAAAACAAGATTATATTTTAAAGTGTGCAGAACAACAAATAAAAAGGCATTTCTAGAAGAAATTAATTTTTGGAGGAGACTCAGAATGAAAATAGTTTTCTTGGATAAGGATGACTTTTTAAAATATAAACAATATTTAGCAGTCAACTAAATTTTGTGCCAGGCTTATAGATTGAACATAATATATTCATTTCCTGAAGTATTGAATGGAAAAGTGGCCATTTGTGGTTGTACTCTTAAGTTTTATGAGAGCTTTTAAGAATGAGCTATAGGCGTTACAGGTGTTTGGGGAATGGCTTTGCATTTCATTCAATTCAGGACTAATGTTCTCTGTCAGGTTCTGCTGCCTCTGATGCCTAGCAAACCAGAAAATTCAAAATAGCTCTTATTTAGAGGAAACAAATCTTGGTTTCTTATATCTTCCTTTATTTGGCAAATATATTCTGGAAAAATTGTGTATAACATAAAGTTTTATAAATTAAATGTTTTAAATGCATATGGGAGCTTCTAATTTAAAGTGATATTACAAAAGTGAAGAAATCTTTTGTAAAGTGAATCACTTCTCCGAAGTTATACTTTTAAAAATCTAAGTGTTTGTTTCTTGGTGGTTTCTTGAGCTGTTATTATTTTACAATGGGATATAACTTTTTATCCTTAATTTTATGAATATGAATGAAATAACAACAAAGTATAAGCAATATATAAGAAATCAGTATTACGTATTAAGCACCTACAGTATATTCAGTCCAGTGCCTAATTACTATGGGGTGTGGAGAAGTATAGAAGAATCTGTGTCACAGGGAGATTCCACCTAGAGCTAACTGCCCAATCTGTGCCAATGAGAAGGTTATTCTTAGAAATAACTTTGCTATAAATAGATAATGAATACCTTCACCATAGATGAAATTACACCTGAATGTAACTGCAAAATCTGTGTCACACAAGACATTACACTTAGCCCTAATTGTACAATCTATGCCTATAGATTGAGTTTTACCTGCACCTTGCTGTTTGTTTGTTTTATGACTTTACTGGATGAATTCTTTCCTCTTTGTCATATATTGCCACAGAAGTATCTGCTCATTGAATTTAGTGGTCAGCTAATGGTTAGACTGAGATATCCTTAAATTTCTTGAATCAGTAAGTCTCCCATTCTTTGTGGAGGGGCTGTGTGTGTGTGTGTGTGTATTCGTGTGTGGGTGTATGTTTGTTGGGGGCATACCTTCAGTGCTCCAGCAGTTTACAACTCTGTCTTAGCTTTCACTTCTTGCTTGTGCATTGCCTTAAGGTCAATCAGAAATGAGATATGAGTATCTTCTCAGATCTTCCCTGGATAGGCACATAGCCCTGCACATCCAAGTGCCTATTTAGATCCCCCAGGAATATATTGGAGGTTTTCAAAGCCTGTTATGAATGTCTTATTAACCAGATTTTGCTTACAATTTTTTGTCAGTCTCTTGTTAGCCCTAACTGGTGTCACTGACTCTGGCCACTGAGATCTTAAAAAATTGCTGCTGATTGTTTTTAACAAACACTCTGGGGATAGGTATTTTCTCACTTAGCAATCTCTGAGTGGGGTCAAAAATTTATTCCTGAGAATAGAGCTTGTCACAGGTCAAACTGTGACAAGTCTCTGGGATGGAGCTTTTGGGAGGAGCTCCAAACCTGTTCTGACCCAAACAGTGACTGCTGGGTTTCACAGCTTCTGTGGTTTGTTTTTTTTTAAATATAGTAAATAAACTTTATTTATCTGTTTCTCAGAGATGACACTGCCAGCAATCACAGATTTGCGTACAATACAGTTATGTATTGGCTATTCACAATTTACAGTAGTGTTTTTTCCTCTGAAAAATATAAGCTTCTATGGTTTTGAGGCTACTGGTATTTAAGGTTGGGAAGAACGGGATGGGAATAGGCTAAGTTAAAATTCCACAACTTGCTGTTCTTATAGAGATTCAACTGTTTTTCCTGAATAAAAATTCATCAGATTGTTGCAGGCCTTTGGTTAATTTCCAGAGTTCTGGAAAATATGATTGTGACCATTTTTGCTGGTGTTCTTATTGCCAGGGAGAAGTGAATTTTGGGAGGTCCTTATTCTGCCAGTCTGGAAGTGCTTCTTTGGTGGCTTTATACTGAGGCAAGTTTTTTTGTTATCTAAGATGGCTGCCAGCAGCAACTTTGACATGTTTCCTGATTCTTAACATGCAGGGGGAGGGGAGAGAGAAAGAGAGCAGGATTAGCTTTTTTCCCCCAGAAACCCTTAACAAACCAAATTGACATAGACCTACTCTTTTCTGAAACTAATATTAACAATTGTCAACAGAGAAGAAATTGCCATAGTTGGCTTACTTTAAACATTTAGGAGTAGAGTAGATGTTGGAGAGTCTATCACACTGCTAACAGGCTTACTTCTGGAGAATAATGTTAGAAAAGGGGAAGGCACAGTCTTGAAGGAGAAAAACAGTTCAGAAAAAAGAAGAGTGGAGATGATTGAGAATTCTTGCCCAAGCCTTATCTTTAACGCTTGGCCTTTATTTATGCAAAGAGACATTTTGATGTGGGAAGAATATTTACTTTAGTTTTACCATGGAAAAAATTAATTTGTTCACATAGGCTTCTACCCATTATTTTTTCTATAATGTGATAATGCAGTAAGATTGAATAAGGCTGCTTCAAGAAATAGTGTGGGGCAATAGATTGACCATTGAGAACAAGTTTGTATGGAGTAAATAGGTAGGAAAGCAGAATATTTGAAGCTGAAAGTATTCTGTTGCACTTCTGTTGCTCAAGTTGTGGACCTTGTTAACAGTGCAGTATTATGTTTGGAAGCAGTAGCTATGATCTGAAGACCATGAAATTGTTGAGTAGATGGAAAAGGGTGACAGAGTTGTACCTATCAAGCAGTATTAAGTATGGTACATTATGTACTTTGGCCTCTGGAAGCCTATAATTACCCACTGCAGAACACTGCAGCATGAGTAATGGGGCTTCATGCACTATATAGTAATGTCAAAGGCCTCGTTTATTAGTCATTCTTCACAATATCTTTGTGAAGTATGTCAGTATTATTATAATCTTACCTGTCTCCTACATGATGAATAAATTGAATCTCAGGAATGTGGATCACATTACTAAAGGTTGCACATATAGCTTATAACTGGGTTTTTGAATCTGTTCTTCCAGTGCTTATTCAGTGCTCAATGAGCTTCCTCAAACAAATGGAATTAGATATGACTTTTTCCAATAGTCAGAAGAAAGAAAAAAAATCCACATACTCACTGTCTTTCAATATCTCTGTTTCCTGATGTTTGTGAGGTAAGATAGTTTTGTACTAGTTGGATCAGAATGAATATGACAGTCAGACTACTATGGAAAGAAAACCAAGCGTAATTAACATGTAGGGACAAAGAAAGAACAAGACAAAGAGAACATGGAATTAGCAGCCTCAAAATAAAATAAGTAATACATTTATTAAGTAGTTGATTATAAAAGTAATTATGTTTTCATTAGGCAGTACATTCCTCTGTTGTGCTAAGTGAATTGGAATGCTATACAGATGATAAGCATTAAAAAGCTGTGTCTGCCTTAAAGAAATAAAAACAACCCCAGGTCCTTAAATACTTAATATGCAGGTGAAAGCCATATTTGGAAGGAAGGAAAGAAGAAAGAAGAATTCATAAGTAACCCAGAAATAGTTTTTGCTAACATTTGGTCCAATTCTATCATTTTGGACTTCCTCTTTTCCACTGAAGATAGCAGTTATCACTTTTTAATGTGGCTTTGAAATTTTAGAACAGAATCCTTGTGAAGTGCATCAAACATTCTTGAACTGTTTTCAGAACATTCTTTTTATGAAGCCATGGAACCAGCTGCTCTTCTGCCTTAGTCAGTTAGTGTTTTGTCACTGATGCTTTTAAGAATGTGGGTATAATAAAACAGAATCTGAGACATTGATCCAGTTGTAGCTATTTTAAGGAGGCGATTATAGCAAAATGAGACACTGATTTATAATGTATTGTTCTTTCTGGTCTAGACCAAATTACATGATTTGTCACAGAGGTTACTTATATATATCTCAGAAAGAAAAATTCTATGGATGTAATTGCAGACCAATTGAATGGATATATTTTGTGTTGTAAAGGAGAATGCAGCTTACATTAGGAAATTATTATTGGCTAACATTCTTGATCAAGTCTTTCTTGGTAGCTACACAAATGCATTTAATCGATGACACAATTATTAGGATAATTCAGTCTAAAATCTTTCTGTTGAAGACAGTGACTCTATATGTTATAAAGGTGAATCAAAATTTCAGCCACAATTTATAGGAGTGTTACTTAACATCATCAGTATTTTCTCATTCAATATCTAAAGTCATCTTGTAATTTTTATTGACTGAAATAGTAATACGAACTATCTTACTTCTTTTTCAGTGTGTCATGTTAGAAAATCAATTCGTATGATGAATTCTAAGTATATTGTGCCAAAGACTTAGAGGGAAAAATTGTCAGCATGAATTATGATATGTTCTCCTGTTCATGGTGTGGCTTTATTGACAAAGTATTGATTTTTGTACTTAGGATTTAAAGGTACATTTTTCTCTTCCCATCTGCTTACTCTGCAAATTGGTTGTATTAAGAACTGGGTGACTTCTGAAATCAACGACAGTCATATTTGGATTTTTGGTAACATCTGGGCTAACCCAAGAAATTGAAATGATGACTTCAGAATTTTTTGACATTATCCAGGGCCAAAGAACTATCGTATGTTGAGTAATTGTATATAACTAAGTTCTATGTTAGATATTCTTTATAGTTTAAGCTGTTTAGTTTTCAAAACACTACCATTTTGTGTAAGTATTTAATTTCCTTCTTCTGCACATAAAAAAACAAATTCAGCAAGTTTCTGACTTGCCTAAAATCACATATTTAGTAACAGAGTGCCGAGGTTTAGACCAGGTCTGCCTGAATTGCAAGGTTGCGCATTTCCATTCTTCCATGTTGCCTCTCAGCAATAAAGAAACATCTTTTCCAATAAACCTTAATAAACCTGTTTAGAAAATCCCATTTAGTTTGGATGGTCAGGATAGAATTTAGAGTAGCTTAAAAACATAAAGCAAGCAGAGCTACAGTGCTCACTCAAATGGCCTTGTTTGATTTCATCCCTGACCACACACCTCACGTCATGTAAAAAGAGCCACTGCCTCTCTGCAGTTGTCTTTCCTGGATTTCTCTGTGAATTTTTGCCTTCTTTGATATATAATACACACCACAAACAAGAATGTGCTGCAGCTTGAGATTACTGTAAACTGAGCTGGTGGTCACTAATATGTAAAATGAGGAAGTTGAACTAAATAATAGCTAAATCTTAGAAATTCTACATGGTAGAATTCTAAAATGTGTAGATTAGTTTGTCATGTAACATGAAGCTTGACTATGAGTATTTGGTGGGTTTGGAATACTGGAATGTAATAACAATTGTTATGAGTCACAATTATATTGTAACTCTCACTGGCCATGAATAATTTTATTGATTAACTTTAATGTAAGAAAATTTTTAAATTTATTTATTTATTATTATTTTTTTATTTTTTTGAGATGGAGTCTCGCTTCTGTTCCCAGGCTGGAGTGCAGTGGCACTCTATCTCGGTTCACTGCAACTTCTGCCTTCCGGGATCAAGCGATTCTCCTGCCTCAGACTCCTGAGTACCTGGGACTACAGGCATGCGCCACCACGCCTGGCTAATTTTTTTGTATTTAGTAGAGATGGGGTTTCACCATGTTGGCCAGCATGGTCTTGATCTCTTGACCTCATGATTCGCCCACCTCAGCCTCCCAAAGCATTGGGATTACAGGCGTGAGCCGCTGCGCCCGGCCTTAAATTTATTTTTTACCTCTAATCAACACCTTGCAGATTGAATTTTTATCAGCATTTTTGAGTTTGTATTTTAGGTCATAGATATCTATTTCTTTGTCACCTACCTCCATTTCTTCTCTGTACCGCTAATTCAAATGTCTGTTTGAATGTGCTTTTTTATTATTTCATTTTATTTTTTGATTAAGCATTTTTGAAATAGAACCTTTGGACTGGCATTCTGACATTGGCATAGATGCTCCCCTTTTGACAGTTTAAACAATTTCATGTGGGTATTAACATCATTGTTAAGTTTTATAGCATCTTCTGGGCACTTAAACATTTGCAGAGTGCTAAACACATGTGACTTAATTAAGGCCACATTATACATTTTTAATAAAATACAGCAACTGTTGATTGTCACAAGGCAAGAGTGATTTAAATAATTGAAAATGTTACAAATAACACTGTTTATGGTACAATAATATATTTGGTTGCAGCATTACATCACTGAAAAAGGACCTTAGAAAATGCTGCTCTGTATGTATCAAATCTAAAATAGGGACTTCCCGTTGATGGTATGACTTTATTGACCATGATGGTGAGAGTATAGTTGATCCTTATTATTCATTGATTTTGTATTTGCAATTCACCTACTTGCAAAAATTTACTTGTAACCCCTTGATATAGTTTGGATATTTGTCCCCACCTAAATCCCATGTTGAATTGTAATCCCTAATGCTGGAGGTGGGGCCCGGTGGGAGGTGTTTGGGTCATGGAGGCGGATCCCTCATGGCTTCGTGGTGTCTTTGTGATAGTGAGTTTTCACGAAGTATGGTTGTTTAAAAGTGTGTGGCACCTCCCCACCCCTTGCTCCTGCTTTTGCCATGTGAAGTTCCTGCTTCTGCTTCACCTTCCACCATGAGTAAAAGCTCCCTGAGGGAGGTGCCCCAGAAGCAGATGCCCCTGCACTTCCTGTACAGCCTGCAGAACCACGGATCAGTTAAACCTCTTTTTTTATAAGTTGCCCTATCTGAAGTATTTCTTTATAGCAATGCAAGAACAGCCCAGCATACCCTCCAAATCAATATTCACAGCACTTGCACAGCCATCGTCAGACATGTGCAGAGGGTTGAAAAATTTGAGTTGCCCAACACTCTAACAAGGTGATGCCCTGCCTTCTCGGTTCAGCTCTTATAGTGTAACCAAGTGTCATTTTCAGAATTTATTTAGTGCCACATATAAACAATTTTTGTGCTTTCTGTTGGTGGTTTTGCTGTTGGAAATGGTTCAAACACAGTGCTTAACTGCTTTCCAGCATTCCTAAATGCAAGAAGTCTGTAACGTGTCTTATGGAGAACTTGTGTGTGTGAGGTAGGCTTTGTTCAAGCATGAGTTAAATACGCTGTTGGCAGTAAGTTCAATGTTAATGAATCAACAATATATATTAAATAAGGTATCTTTAAACAAAAACATACATGAAGCAAGGTTATGTATTGAATGGTTGCCGAAAATGTTGTAACCAGAGGCTTACAGGAATCTAACCTTGTATTTCCCCTAGGAGCAATGGTTCAGAATTTGTGAATTCAGTGTTTGTGGCAATCTTATACACTATAACTTTTGCAAATAACAAGAATAAGTTTGTCATGTTGGAGTCACGTGACAAAATGCCTCTGGAATAATCAGGAAGACCTTACAAATGTAGCTATTTAGAAATCCAATTTTTTTAGGGGAGAGGGGTACCCCAGAACTTAAAACTATGTTATGTTTTTAGCAGATGCCTCTCTGGGGGTTTTCTTTAAGATATTAAAATGTCTCTTGAGCATTTTTGTTCATTCTTACTTCCAAATTTTGCTACTTCTCTAGATCTGTACTGTAAGTTACCATATGATTGTATAAAAATGAACATTTCAGTCAGTTATGCAGTTGGGCGTTTAAAAATAGATTTTGTTTGAAGAATGATGTAAATAACTCTAAGATAGGCTATTCATAAACTAACAGAGATGGAAAACATTTCCTACATCTTAGCCACTGTACTATCTGGAATTCCACAGTAGTATACCAAAAACTTCAGTGGGCCCTGCAAATCAAGGGATGGTGGTGCTAGCATATTTGGTCTCTGGTCAAGAAAGGGATCTGGAGAGTCCTATAGCAAGTTTTCATATTGTAGGAAAAGCCTGGGTGAAATTCATTTTTGCCTGCTCTGATGGCTTAAGAAAGCAATGCCTGTCATAATCCAGAGAGACACAACCCTGAACACCATAATCCCGAATGTTGAGATTCCAACAGATTAAAACGTCTAAGGATCTTTTGATCCTTAACATTTAAAATCCGTAACATCTAAAACTCTGAAAATCCCAATTCTAAAAGATTAAAATCCTGAGTGCTGAAATCCAAGAAGCCAAATTCTGGGGAAAGGGATTAGTGTATATCTGGCTGTGTGAAGGATAGTTACATCGTGTCAGTTGCATCATGTTAGGTAAAACTATTACCTTATTATTGTCTTTATTTGGAATTAAGTATGGTTTAAAGAGATGTGTGTGGGTGCCAAGTAGACAAGGGGCAGACTTGTGGACTTAATTTTACTTTGACTGGATTTTAACTTGACTGAATTAAGGAGTACCTAGAAACCTGGTAGAGCATTATTTTAGGTGTGTCTGTGAGGGTGTTTCCAGAGGAAATTAGTGTGAGTCTGAGTGAACTAGATGGGGAAGATCTGCCCTCAACATTAATGGATACCATCCAAATGGCAGGGGTCCTAGAGAGAACAAAATAAAGAAGGCAAATTGGTCTCTCTGAGAGCTGAGACAGACTTTTCTTCTGCCGCTGGGGACATCAGAACTCCAGGCCTGCTGCCCTTTGGACTCCAGGACTTATACCAGTGGTGCCCCAGGTCCTGAGGCTTTTGGCCTTGGCTTGAGAGTTACACCATTGTCTTCCCTGGTTCTGAGGCGTTCAAATGTGAACTGAGCCACCATTACCAGCATCCCAGAATCTCCAGCTTGTAGATGACCTGTCTTGGGACTTCTCAGCCACCATAATTGCATGAATCAATTCCCCTAATAAATCCCCTCTCATATATCTATATAAGTGCCCTATTGGTTCTGTCTCTGGAGAACCCTGAGTAACACAGATTTGCTGTCAGGAAGCTGAATATCATTTTTTTCTTATATATTCCTTATAACACAGTGGAAGAGATCTGTAAAATTGTCCGCTTGCAGAAAGGCTGTGATAAGTGTATGAGGCTACTTAATGGTGAAAGATAAAAATTTAAAAGCTAATTAATTGATGCTGCCAAAGCAGAAAATCGCTAATTGCAATGGCTGAGCAATAACCAGACTTTCAAATGGACAGTTTATAGTTACAAAATTTGTAGACTATAACCACTTTCCAAATACAAGTGCAGCAAGTGTTTAGAAGATTATAGAAAAGTGGCAATGCCAGCAAAAATTACAAGATACCTTCCCTGCCAAGTTATTCAGTCGTGTACGACTACTGCTCCTTCACACATAGTAACAATTCATTATGCTATGTATTTCATCTTCACATCATTTTTAATACTGGAGGTGTAAATTGTGTAAATAATTTTGGAGAGTTCTAATTTGTTTTATGCATTTTTTTTTGCTGCGAATTTGACTCCATTAAACTGCGTTATCACAATGTTGACTCTGTGGATAAGAATTGTATTTGTATATAAAAACATTGAAGCCTCCTCAAAAAACGAAGAAATTTCCTTTTTGTACATCTGCATTTGTGAAGGATGAAATTTCTCAAGATCTTGACTCTTACTACATATGTAGTGGTGACCTGTCACAGTTTGTGATCAATCTTGTTAAAAGACTTAGGTTATTCATCATGGTATTTCAGATAACTGCAGTTATATAGCTGGGTGCCCACAATTAGCAACCACAGTGATATATGTTTTTGCATTTCACGTTTTGACCAATTTCTTTATGAATCTGGTTCATCTACTCACAACTGCTATACTCATGCAACTATTGTTACTATACCTGAGTGTTTGTGCTTGCAAAAATGTGTATATTATTAATATTATTATTGCCTATTTTGTAGTATTAATATAAGGTGGCCTATCACGTGTTCTGCCATGTTTTTATGTTTCCCAAATAAATCCCCCTTAAAAATGTAAATAAATGTCTTTAAAATATTTTTTAATTATTTTGTTCCCCAGAATTATATTTTTGAGATTTTGATCTTTTAGGATTATGATTTTAGGGATTTTAGACTTTAGGGATTTTGATGTTTCAGAGTTTCAGCATTCAGGATTTGGTCTTTTAGGATTGTGTGTCTCAGGATTATGGCCCGCACCCCTAACAAAGAGGGGAAACCTGAGATGTTTTTCCTTGGGACTGATAAGAGATAAGCCTTGATTGATATTGAACATATGTAGGGATTGAATGGTGCTTTTCATTAAATCGCTGCCATTTTTCAGTGGGAAAGTTAATATGAAACATTTATTTTACTGAGAAAAATTATTTTTTCTTTTTAGAAAATAGAAAAATAGGGTACAAGTGCAGTTTTGTCACATGGATATATTGTACAGTGGTAAAGTCTGAGCTTTTAGTGTAACCATCACCCAGGGTACATTGTACTCATTAAGTGATTTCTCATGTCTCACCCCCCTCCTACCTCCCATTCTTCTGAGACTCCAGTCTATTATTCCACACTCCATGTCTGTGTGCACATATTATTTAGCTCCCACTTATAAGTGAAAAATGTGGTTTTTGAATTTCTGTTTCTGACTTATTTAACTTAAAACAATGGTCTCCAGTTTCACCCATGTGACCACAAAAGACATGATTTCATTCTTTTTTATGGCTGAATAGTATTCCGTTGTGTGTGTGTGTGTGTGTGTGTGTGTGTGTGTATTACAAATACAACGGAATACTATTGTATTTCATTACAATAGTATGCATATATTTATATAAATACAAACTAGCGTGTGACTAGTGTGTAACAAGTATGTATACATATTTATATAAATATATATGTATACTATTGTATTGGAATACAATAGTGTTCCATTTTATATATGTAAATATGTGCACACAATGAAATTGTATGTGTGTGTATGTATGTATATAAACAGATATTTAACAATATATAATTAAATTATACACATACACACACAACAGTTTCTTTATGCAGTCATCCATTGTTGGACACAGGTTGATTTTGTATCTCTGCTATTGTGAATAGTGCTCTGATACACATACAAGTGCAGGTTTCTTTTTGATATAATTTCTTTTCTTTGGGGTATATACCCAGTAGTAGAATTGCTGTATCAAATGGTAGTTCTCTTTTTAGTTCTTTGCAAAATCTCCATACTGTTTTCCATAGAGGCGGTACTAATTTTCCCACCAACAGTGTGTAAGTATTCCGTTTTCTCCGCATCCTCGTCAACATCTGTTATTTTTTGTCTTTTTAGTAATAGCTATTCTGACTGGAGTAAGATGGTATCTCATTGTGGTTTTAATTTGCATTTCTCTGATGATCAGTGATGTTGAGCCATTTCTATGTCTTCTTTTGAAAATTGTCTATTCATGTCTTTTGCCCACTTTTTAATGGAGTTATTTGTTCTTTTTGTTGTTTGAATTCCTTGTAGATTCTGAATGTAAGTTTTTTTGTCAGGTGCACACTTTGCAAATATTTTACTGAAAAGAGTTCTTTGTGGATTATTTTTCAAAGTTGTCAGATATACCTACTGAAGTGATAATTTAATTGGAAAGTCTAACCCTCATGAGAGCTGAGTGCTCTGTTTCTTAAAGTGTGGTTCCAAGCCCACCTCTATCATAATCAGCTTGGGAATTAACATTGCAGATTCCCTAGGGACTTACTCTAGGCTGATTAAGTCAGATTTTCTGGGAGTATGACTCAGGTATTTGTATGTATGCTTGTATAGATGTATGTATTTATTTATTTTGAGATGGAGTTTCACTCTTGTTGCCCAGGCTGGCGTCCAATGGCGCAATCTCGGCTCACAGCAACCTCCGCCTCCCGGGTTCAAGCGATTCTCCTGCCTCAGCCTCCCGAGTAGCTGGGATTACAGGCACCTGCCACCACACCCGGCTAATTTTTGTATTTTTAGTAGAGATGGGGTTTCTCCATGTTGGTCCGGCTGATCTCTAACTCTCGACCTCAGTTGATCCACCCACTTCGGACTCCCAAAGTGCTGAGATTACAGGTGTGAGCCACTGTGCCCAGCCAGGCATTTGTATTTTTAAGGTACACTGCAGCTTGAGAATCACTCTTCTACTGAGTTGGTAGAAACAAGAATTTCTATCATATTTTAGTGAAGTAATTTACATTCTTTGACTGAAATGGATTTGATTTTTTTTTTAAACTTTAAGGAGTACAGATGTAGCCCAAGTTAAGTAAACATAATACAATATAGACAAACTCCCAGATGAGATTTTAAGTTAAGATGACTGATATTTAAACATATATGCCCG